>NC_000015.10:39640510-39943540 GCF_000001405.40 Homo sapiens
TCCCAGAGGTTCTGAGTGCCTTGCCCCGGGTCGCAGCGGAAAGAAAACTTCTTTTGTTCCACAGAGTTCTGGGGTACGTGATAAAAGAAGAACTTCAGCTGAATTAAATTTAAAGGAGTTTGAGCAATGAATAATTCGCGAATTGGGCAGCCCCCAGAATCACAGCAGATTCACAAAGACTCCAGTGCAACCACGTGGTAGAAGAAGATTTACAGACAAAAAAAAAAAAAAAATGGAAATGACATACAGAAATTGGAAGGAGAGTACAGAACTGCCGGTTGGTTACAGGTCAGTGTATATGCCTTATTTGAACATCGTTTGAACATTGAGCAGTGTATGAAAGGTTGAAATCTGGCCTCTGGCCACTGGGATTGGCCAAGACTTGGCTATTGTTACAGGTGCATACTACTAAATTAGGTTTTCAATCTCATCTGCCTTTAAGCTAGGTTACAGTTCACCACAAGCACTCAAATATAAAAGTACAGAGTCCTTCTCAGGCCATATTTAGTTTGCTTTAACATACTGCAAAGAATACTAACTTATACATCCCAAAAGGCTCATGGACAGAAATGATTTGTTACTGAATATAAAGATCTATTAGACACCTGGAAATCTTTGGAGACAAAGATGCTTCAAATAGCCATAGAAGGGAATGCATAAGGAAGCTAACACATTACAAATACAAAATTTTTCTATGCCTAATTCAAACTGAAAAAAAAAATGTTTTTTTAATTCCTGTCATTCTCCAGAGAGAGGAAAGCAAAAATTGTTCTCTACATCTGAGCTGTGGTGTCAGCATATTACCCACCACTAGAGCACAAAAGCAAAGTTCAGGCCCTCATTTTAGAATCAACATGGGTGGCTGGTGACCGTCAATTTCACCAATGGGTAAAAACACACGACTTCCCTGGATGCCTGTCATTTGCCTCTCATCGCATAGTAACCAGCTGTATAAGTAAGCAAAAAAATCCTCGAAACTGTTTATTGACTATAATTAACAGGGTTTATGGTATTTGAAAGCAAATAAGCACTATGACAAATATAATAAAATATGATGCATAAAAATGATGTAAAACCGACTTGATGTTCTGACTTTCCAGTGAAAGTCGTTTTCCTGGTTTACCTGATGAAATGTTTCAGAGGTTCATTGCATGAACTATGAGTCATAGCTTCAAGTCTCTGGTTGCCACTTTACCATTTACATGATTTAAGGCCAAAATCTGCTCTCCTTCCTATGTCATAACAAAACCGCGCAAGACTATAACGTAAGCCTCACTACCCATATCCTAGAGCTTTGCAGCAACCAGCAAACGTAAAAACGGAAAACACCAGAGCTCTAAACAGATTACCCAGCTGCTGTGTAAATTTACAGCAGTCTATAAGCCTTCATAATATTAGTAATATTTATAAAATTATTGAGCAGTCCTTGATTATAGTGTATTATAGAAATGCAAATTGCAGTCACAAGAATAGGATGTGGGTTGGGACTCTTGAAATCAACCTTCATTTTTTGACCTGACATTTGATATTTTGCTATAAAGCCTCCAGTTTGAACGTTCTACTTGTCAAGAGTTAATGAAACTGAAATGAGTCACAGATACTATCTATGACTCATATTATTATAATATCACAATTATATAATACTGCAAGTATTCATGGTGCAAAAAAGAATGCCATAGGACAAAAGACCTTCCCTGTAGATCCAGTCATCACAATGAATAAAGCCCTAAGCATGCTTGCTAATTTTAATGGGACCGAAGAGTCTTAACGCAAGTTTCCCCTCTCCCACCCCTGTTTTTTATTTAATTATTTTTAACCTGCTTCTGGTCCAAGAAACCATTTCCTAGCCTGGAGTGCTAGGCATTTACTAATGGCCTTTCCAGCAGGGCTGACATACATGAGTGGCTGTCTCCAGCTCACTCACAGACTTGGGGGCGGCTCTTAGCAGCCTGTTTCTACCTGAGGGTCTTTGTATTTAACTGAATTCTTTAGTGACAGGGATCTGCAGAATAAAGAATGCTGCATGGGGTAGGAATGCACACACGTGTTTTCAGCTGCTTCATATTCAGGCCTGCTGTGACTCAGCTTACAAGATCAAAGTTATAAACTCATTTTTCATTTCTTAGGGGAAAATGTCTCAGTAAAAGTACGAAAACCTGAAACCTTTTTTCAAGGAAGATACAAAACAAACTTTCAAAGTTTTTTTGTTTGTTTTGTTTTGTTTGTCTGTTTTGCTAAGTAGTGGTCAGTATCACAAGATGACATCCATGAAGCTCCACTGGGGACTCTAACATTATATATAAGTTGATTCCTATGGCAAAGTGTATAAACTCACTGGTTATTGTCATTGTGTTCATCCACCATCATTGAGCATATCTCTAAAACAATGTTGTACTATAATTTTTTCCCAGGAGTTTTAGAGAGAAAATAAAATTCCTCTAATGGAGACAGTTTCTTGACACAATTGTTCAGTCCTCGAAGCACTTCATTATTAGGTGGTAGCCATACATTTGAATCAATAAATTCCTATTCAGACTCTGCCTTCAGAGAAAATCCTGTAGCAGTATAATTAATCCTTTGCACCTGAGGTTAAAAATGTGGCCGAATAATAACATCATTTTTAGGCACTGGCAGAGCAGAATTAAGTTCAATAAAAAGTGGGAAAGATAAAAGGAAAAAAAGGAAGATCCAACATATGAAGTGGCTGCTATTTTATTTCAACATTGCTTATATGTTTAGGAAAACATTTAAAAGATGAGTAGACAAGAATGAAATGATGTATCACAAGAAGTTTGTTTCCTTCTTACGGTTTCAAAACTGAAATTGTTAGAGAAAATGAAAAATGAGTTTTTAAGTGTTGAGAGTAATTCTAGAAAATATTTGTGCACACAAAGCCTGACTAGACCTATTCCAAATGATGTTCTTATCTGGAGTTTCCCAGCTAGGTTAATGCGGGCATTACCAAATCCTGAGGTACCTAAAAGGAGTTGTCAGAGAAAAGATAAAACAAAAATAAAAGATGGAGAAACAAATAATATAGAGTGTTTTCTGATCAGAAATAAGCCTGCCAACTACCCATTAGAGACTGGTTAATACTTGTGAGTCTCAAATTGCCTGAATTTATTCTGGAGCTTCTAGATATATCTGGGGAAATTGAGACAATGTACTTCTTTCTTTTTGTAAAAAAACAGTAGGTGTTACCCAAATAAGTGGGAACATCAAGTCTGGTCTTTATTTCTGAGGTTGCCTGCAAGTTGCTACATCCATAACAAAAGTGCCTTTGCAGTTTACTCTTCAGCATATATTATTTCATAAGCAAGGTACTCAAATTGAATCTCAGCTTCAAAACTTAGTATCAATCACATTTTTCAACCTTCCAGTTTAGTTTTGGTATGACTGGAAAATTCTGCAATGCTAAGGAAGTGTGCCAACCATAAATTAAAATAACATCTGAATGTACCCTACATAGTTTATAAGCCTACAAAGGACCTAACGTCATGAGGTTTATGAGTAACAAACCTTGGTGACAGTAATTTTCCTTAGCTGAAACTCTCTATCACTTAAAATATTCTGTCAGACACCCAGTTACACTTTGAGATTTCTCATCAGGCTTTTAGTATTTTAAAAACTCAATTTCTGAAATTTCGCCTATAGGCTCGATCCTTCCAAACACACCTCCCTCCTGAAATTTCATGCTCATCACAGCTGAATGCCTGCGACTGTCCCGAACACTTCCCCTCGCTACAGGAAAATGCATTAACTTCCAGCTGCCCGGCCGAGTGTGCCATGTCCGTATCAATTAGGCTTGAGCATTTAAAACGGCTGTTCCTGAGGTGATTAATGACTGCAAATGAGAAGACCTTTCGTTTCCCGGGGACAGGTCACCCCAGACCCTGTGTTATCGCCACCAGTCAAGGCATCCTGCTGAACCAGGCTGCCATGCATCCCCTTTCCAGCCCATTTATCAGTCAAACCTGCCAGGATGATTCTTTTCAGGTGTGCATCTGAGACACGAGGGGAGAGACCTTTGTTTTAATTGCCCATGATTTGCTTTATGGTCTCCAAGAACTCATGAGAACTTCTGCCAAAGTAGTTTCAAATTCAGAAGCTGGGACAAATGAGCATCTCCACCATGGATGAGGAGCAGTATCTAGATACACAATGTTCAAAAGCACTTTTCAGCACTATGATTTACAGGCAAGTACTGAAAAAAAAAAACTTAGCCAAGAGGATTTTTTGAATTTGTAACTAAAGGTAAACCTGTTTTATAGCTGGCATCTCATTGTTCAGGAAATTCCAAGGCCGGCTGCCATCAAAGGTTGAGAAAATAAAATGATTTAATTCAAGTTTTCAAATTGCTGATGTAAAATGGTATCATTCCATTTCTCATCCACATATAAGTGAGCTGAACAATCATCAGGCAGTTATAGTCAAAAGAAACTTTTCAGAACAAAGCTGTCATTAAGAGATATAAAAACATTTATCCAAAGAAGACATAACAATGGCCAACAGCTATGTGAAAAAGTGCTCAAAATCACTAATTATTAGAGAAATGCAAATCAAAACCACAATGAGATATCACCTCATGCCTGTTAGTATAACTGTTATCAAAAAGACGAGATAACAAGTATTGATGAGGGCATGGAGAAAAGAGAAACTTTCTACATTCTTAGTGGAAATGTAGATTGGTACAGCCATTGTGGAAAACAGTATGAAGGATCCTAAAGGAATTAAAAATAGAACTACTGATACAGTGGCTGCTGCCATCATGTCAGCTGCAGCAGGGAGGCGTGGCTGGGGCTGCACACTCCATGGAGCCAGTGGGAGCCCTGCCTCTTCTGAGTTGGAAAGAGAGCTACGTGCCTCTGCAGCCACCCAAACTGCAGCTACAGACCCAGGCCTCCTGCTCTAGTGAGCAAGCAGGAGCCTCGCCCTCCTGGGTGAGGCTACAGGCCACCTAAACTACAGCTGTGAATCCAAGCCTCCCTTGTGCTCTTGGGGGAGCCAGGAACAGTCAGGATCTGCCCTCCTGGGTGCAGCTGGAGCCACGGCACTGGTGGCTGCAGATCTGGAACTCCCAGTTGGGAAGCAGGCAGGAGCCGGGGACAAGCGGGAGCCCTGCCTCTTCCGAGTTGGCCAGGCCGGAGCTCCTGGCTGCAGCTGCTGCTGCCCTCCCACGTGCAGGGCGTCTCTGCAGCCTGCACCCTCGGGCACCCCAGGAAGGTTCCCTGCCCCTGTCCCTGAAGGCTCAGGGGTGTCTGCTCCCACTGCCTGGCCTCTCTCCGCTCCCAGTCCCCAGCTCCAATCTCGGAGCGGGGTTGGGGCCGAGCCCCAGGGCCATGAACGGCAGCAGGAGGCAGACAGAGTCCGGGGTGGAAGGGGGCAGGGTCCCCAGTAAGGCCCCACTTTCAGGCCGTCCCTGGCCTGAACACTGGGGGCCGGGCTGCCAGTCCTGTGGACGGGAGAGGAGACTCATGGTGCCTCTTTGGCTTGCCCATGGACCAACTGGCATGCACTCTGTCCTCTCTGAACTCCATAAAAGCTCTGTACTCAGCCAGAGCAGGGCAGAGGATGGCTAAGGACGAAGAGGGCAGAGAGAATGGGAGCAGACCACAAGGTGCAGAGAAGACTACCCTGTCTGCTGATAGCTGGAGACGATGGGAAGACCAGCTGCAGAGAGGAGTACCCTCACTGCTGAGAGCTGCAGAGATGACCTGCCAGTAGAGAGGAGCTACTCACTCCTTTGAGCTGTTCTAACACTAAATAAAACTCTGCTTCTTCACCCTTCACTTGTCTGTGTACCTCATTTTTCCTGGATGCAGGACAAGAACTCGGGCAAAGGTGCTGGGGCCACAGAGGTTTCCCACCAGAAAAATCGACACCCAAGAGATCTCCTAACACTACTGGTTTGGGCCGTAATCCCAGCACTCTGAGAAGCTGAGGCAGGAGGATTGCTTGAGGCCAGGAGTTCGAGACAGGCCTGCGTAACATAGCGAGACCTCATCTCTACAAAAAAAAAAAAAAAAAAAAAAAAAAAGGCTGCGTTTGGTGATGTGTGCCTGTAGTCCCAGCTACCCTGGAGACTGAGATGGGAGGAGTACTTGAGCCCAGGAGTTTGAGCTTTACAGTGAGCTATGATTGCACCACTGCATTCCAGCATGGGATACAGAGTGACACTGTGACACACTGTCTCTTAAAAAAAAAAAAAAAGTCTAATGGAAATGAAATCACCACTTAACTTCATAAAGGTATCCACATTTCCTTGTTCATTGCAGCATTATTCACAATAGTCAAGATACTGAAACAACTGAAATGTCTGTTGATGGATGAATGGATACAGAAACTGTGATATACACACATACAGAGAAATATTATTTAGCCTTAAAAAAGGAGATCCTGCCATTTGCCACACGAATGAACATGGATGACATTATGCTAAGTGAAATAAACCAGACACAGAAAGAAAAATACTGCATTATTTCATTTATATATGGAATCTAAAAAAAGAAAAACAAAGTTGAATACATGAAGATAGAATAAAGTGGTTGTTACCAGGGGTGATAGAAGTAGTTGTTACCAGGGATGTGGTGAGACTGGTAGGAAATGGGGAGATATACATAAAAGGATACAAAGTTGCAGACATGTAAGATGAACAAGTCTGGAGGTCTAACATACAACATGAGGACTATAGTTAGTAATACTGCCTTTTATTTGAGATTCTTGCAAAAAGAGTAGATTTTACGTGTTCTTTCCACACATACGCAAAGAGGGTAACTATGTGAAATGAATGTGTTAATTTGCTTGACTATAATAACCATTTCACAATGTATATCAAAACATCATGTTGTATACTTCAAATATATATAATTTTAAAAAAGTGGTTTTTTTGGTGGTCAAAAAAAAGAGATACAAAAACAAAAGCCCTGTGGATGCATCATCTGGGGTTTATTCCACTTGACATATGAGACTCTGCCTTATGGTAGGGCTCAGGTATCCACCTCTGTCCCTTCTGGCCCTGGGCATGCCAAACCTACACCCAGAAGAGACTTGTGCTACCCTTTCCACATCTTTTCTACCCCATGACATCACTGGTATGTTACTCAGATTTTGGTGTTTTCTAACAGTCTCAGGACATAGGAAAAAAATTTACACTTAAAGCTTCAGAACAGCCATTCAAAAAATTATCACTTAATAGAATGAAAACACACATGTACCATGAATAGGAGAGGGAAGGCATTAAAAAAAAAAGACTTCTTAAGGTCAATTTTCCAAAAGGTCTATGTTTAAATGTTCTAACAAAATCTACTGCATAAGGACAAATAGATATTAAACTGTTATATTGGGAAAAATACTGCATGACATAGAATGTCTGAAATCCAAAAATAAATTAATATCACTACGCTTTGCCCTTTAATCAAAAGTAAGTTAGTCACTGGTATTTAATGCACACAAGAATCTAGTATAACATGGACACATGAAGGGGAATATCACACTCTGGGGACTGTGGTGGGGTGGGGGGAGCGGGGAGGGATAGCATTGGGAGATATACCTAAGGCTAGATGACGAGTTAGTGGGTGCAGCGCACAAGCATGGCACATGTATACATATGTAACTAACCTGCACAATGTGCACATGTACCCTAAAACTTAAAGTATAATAAAAAAAAAAAGAAAAAAAAAGAATCTAGTATAAAATTGCTACCAAAAAAAAAAAAAAGAAAAATTAGAGAAACTTGAGATTGTACTGGCAGCTTGAAATTTTCTAGAATTCTAAATTTTAATTTTAGTCTCTACCTTAATATAAGATATTTGCCAAATGTCCATAGAATTGAAGGTTTTGTACTACTCACTAACAATATATAATGTTTGCTTAACTTGGGTTTGATGTAGACCAGTGGTTCCACAAACTAGATCATAACCTTAGAAGGTGAGACATACGCATCGTAAGTTCTTAAAAGTTCTCCAGGTGATTCTCATCTGCCGTGGTTGGGAACCACTGACACAGACCAATGCTTTCCAAGACCCCACCTTGTTAGGAAAAGAAAACACAAGTATAGCAGTTAAGAACCCAGGAGTAACTCAGAAGAAGTAAGTTAAACAGATTTTTAAAATTATAGTGATGTAAATAAGATACTAACATTGGTGCCCAAAAGTAAAGGTAGGTTGGAAATGGTGAAATGTGTGATGTAATTGGTAGTTTGGGGCCTATCAGGGAGACTTCTTGGGAAAGTCTTAATTATAAACTGAATTATAAAGGTCAAGAGTCAGTAAATCACAGAATAAAGAGGCAGGCATTTTAAAGATGACCCCTTCAAATAATCTGAGCATTCAAGCCACCAAGTAATAATGACTATAATTATCATGTGTTCTATCTTTATTTTATATCATTATTTAAAAAGGAAAGCTATTTCAGACTGGGATTTCTTGTGCAAAGTTTTTTTTTTTTATTTGGGTTTTTTGTAACTTATGGAAAATATTTCACCCAAAAAGGAATGGAAATCTTTATCCAGCCTAAGAGTGAGTGGAAGAGAACTAAGCAAACGGAAACAACCAATAGCTCAAAAGCTGAGTACCATAAACACCTACACATTTGACTGGACACGATTTCAGTCTTCTTTAAGAGGAGGGACTTAAGAGTCTTAAGAGTTTTCAGCTGGAATAAGATGTATAAGGATAAATTATGTTTATTCACATAAACTGTTTTGCAATATGAAAAGACCAAAAACACCTGTAAAGCCAGTGTGGCTCCCACTCCAGGAACTCTAGCTGGTAATGTTTCCTGACAGAGTAATTTATCCTAAATTTCACATCCTGCAAGCATAAGGGTCAAATATATTTTAGTCATAAAGACACTATAAGTTTCCGAGTAGAAATGCTTCAAGTTTTCAATCTCCAAGAACATTTGTCCCACCTATTCTGATAATACTTTACTATCCCTTTGTTTTTCAAGATACCAGAAATGACTGAGATGGAATTTACTCTAGCTTACTTCTTATATTTAAAAAGATCTCTTGCTTTTGCATTTATCTAGGCACATATAAAAATCAATATGTGACCTACTACTACCCAGACAGAGGTTAGCATCATTTTCTAAGGCTCCTTGCTCTTCACTGTACTTTGGTCTTTTCCATCCCTGCCTGACTCTACACCACTCTCAGGCTATTCTTCCCAGACACTTTTTCTACTCTGCCGTCGTCCTCTGCCCAGGAACCAACAAAGCGTTCCCTGTCGGATCAAGTCCTGAACACTCAGCTTGACCCTCTCTAATCAGAAGAATCTGCCTCTTCAACTTTATTTCCACGTTCCCCAACCTTTTCATTCTAATTAAGCCAATATCCCGATTGCCTTCCATAGAAATCATGTTTTCACTCACATACCTACTCAGTAAACACTTATTGAGTGCCAGCTGAGTGTCAGGCCTCGTGCTCATTTCTGGCCCCACACTTTTGTTCCTGCTGGCCTGGCTCAAATGCCAAGTCCTCCACAAAGCTCTCTTCAGCTGTGCTGATTCCCCACTCAGCGTCCTTATCCTCGGGATTCCCCACATCAGCATTCGCAACCTGAACTCACACAGCACTTTTCTAGAATACTTTCAGACATTCTGTTTCAAATAAATTTGGAAACTCTGGTTCAAACTCAGTTGGACAGGTTTCTCTACTATGGAATTCTCAGAGGCTTTAATAAGCTACCATCAGTTGTGAATTCCTAAGAGGGTTATATAATATTCAGAATTTCACAAAATTCCTTGGCCATAAAAATTTTACAGTATAATTGCTGAAATCCCAGGACAATCTTATTTGGGAAATGTTGCCTACTATTATTTAAAATTGGTACCACACAATTTATCACTTAATCACATTGCTGGCTATATGGTATCATCCTGTTACTTCTCTGTCTTCTTTCTATACATCTTTGTCCTTTTCAAATACCCAAAATATTAAGTCCTCCCTTATGACTAAAAGTAAAGAGTAAACCAAAAAATACTGTCTCAACCCTTGGGGAAAGTTTTCTAATATGTATTTATTTACCTCCCTGCCTTAGTAAGCAGTACAATCAATGGATCTTTGATGGCTGAGACAGGTTGAAATGGCAAAAAGACAACAGCACCACTTTTGAAAACGACTTTATGTAGACCACCTCCCTGGCCTCAGCGTCCTCATCTGAACAAGAAGGGAACTTCCCAGTTCTGACGGTCTATCGTACAGCATCTCAGCGTTGTGATTCTTAAATAAGTATTCACTGTACAATCCTATAAAGGTAAGAGCTAAACAATCAGATATCACCCCCAGAACATTCTTCGGAAGTCTCTGTGCTCTGCTTTCTTACTAATATAATAATAGCTTGTTTTCTTATGATTTTCCTCCTTCGAATAAAAACAATTCCTATTAATTTAGGTTTCCTGTCATTTGGCTTTGAGTTAACACAGGCTTTACTTGACAGGGAAGGGAATGACTCGGCAATCACAGCAACAGCCACACCTGCAGTGCTCCTTCGTTTCCCAAGTGCAGCCAGTAACTGGTCAGATGGAGTCCCAGAGGGCATGGGCCACAGAGAGAGGAAGTCATCTGATGGGAGGGTGGGCATGAACCCATGGACATGAACCCATGAAAAACAGCTGTCATGTGTCTCCATATCTAGTTATACTTCAGGTTCTAGTGGATGAACAACCAACCAACCAATTTGTTTTATAATGTAGGGTTTCCTAAGTTAACAAATCTTAAATTTCTTAAGCTTCCAGAGCCCACTGGAAAAAGATCATCACAATTCTAAGACTCTGGAAATGATGAATGTCAAAACAATCTCTATTCCATTATTCCAATAAATTTTGTGACATTGATGTGATTTTCACACAATGTTTAATGCAAAATGACAAGCAACTCAAATTTCCATATTATTCTTTTAACCATCTGTAAAAAATAGATAAATATGACATCTGGTGAAAGCTCTAATGAATGAAAAGTGCATTATTTCCTCCTCACAGCAGGTGTGTGACTTTGGGCAAGTTACTTCTCTAAGCCTCAGTTTTCTCATCTGTAAAATGGGGCTTATTTCATAGAGTTGTCCTGGGTGTTCAAAAAAATAATGTATTCAAAACACTTAACACATCATTGTGTGACTGTTATTGCTTTTTTGCTTATGGTTGTTGTTACTATGATTATCGTTTGACTAGTGTTATTGTTATAAAAAGGACAGTTAGAAAGAATTCTATTAAACCTCTGGAGATTACCTCACTTCGATTTGAAAGCCAATTCTTTCTGCACTGTTCTAAGTCAACCTATACAAATTGTTAGATACAAGTTGGAAAAGCCCATAAAATCGTGTGGTCTCTTTTGCCTTTAATAGATTCCTCCTTTCAACCACTACGTATCTATCTCCCCCAATTCACATCATCAAAGAAAGCTTAATGCAATTAAATGGGGAAAGAAGTTAAGATGAAATTAGACAAAGCCACATTAAAGCAGTCAGCTCAATTCTTGACACACAGATTGGAGGACAAATAAAGGGGTGAATGGAAGAGATGTTTTTCTTCCTAGGCAGCAGGCATAAGTTACACTCCCATAAATGTCAATAACCAGCTGTGTGACTCTGAGTGGGTTGAGAAACTATTAGAATAGATGACCTCCATAGTTCCCTTCCAGCTCAGCCTCAGAGCCCACACTGTTGCTTTCTGTAAAGTTAAGTCTGAAGGGGAGGATCGGGCTAAATATTACCATTTTAAAAAAGAATGCTAGTGCTATTCAAGAATGAAGTTTAATTCTCAGTCCTTTGGAATACAACTTCAACTCATTTACTTAGATAAATGCTTTCCAGTACATTTATTAAGAGAGCAAGAAGTGATGTTTTGATTAAAAGTGAATTCTAAACATTTGCTACATTCAGAGCAGTACTTTGTTAGTTATATTTTGAACTTGCATCTGTATTTATAGAAGCAAGTTCAACTTATATATATAGGACTAAGAGCTGTTGAAATAAAAATTTGCTATAGATTTTGCACATTTCGGGTGATTAATCAAAAGATTTCATCTACCTAAACATTTCTTTCCATTTTTTTTCTTAATCTTGGATCCTACTTATCTAAGCAGGCTTCCTTTCTACTGGATATAATTTCAATAACTTCAAAAGCAAACACAAAGTAATCTTATCTGTGACATTTCTCAAACACTTTTTTCTAAGTCTTTCTTATTTCATTTGTTATACACAAACCTAGATGGTGTAGCCTACTATACACCTAGGCTATATGGTATGGCCTATTGCTCCTAGGCTACAAACCCGTACAGCATGTTACTGCATTGATTACTGTAGGAAATTACAACAAAATGGTAAATATTTGTATATCTAAACACAGAAAAGGTACAGTTAAAAATATTTTTTTAACGGTATGCAGGCTGAATACAGTGGCTCATGCCTGTAATCCCAGCACTTTGGGAGGTTGAGGTGGGTGGACCGCTTGAGCTCATGAGTTTGAGATCAGCCTAAGCAACATGGCAAAACTCTGTCTCTACAAAAAATACAAAAATTACTCAGGCGTGGTGGTGTGTGCCTGTAGTCCCAGCTACTTGGGAGGCTGAGGTGGAAGGATGTCTTGAGCCTGGGAGGCAGAGGTTACAGTGAGTGGAGACCACGCCAGTGCACCGTAGCCTGTGTGACGGAGCCAGACTTTGTCTCAAAAAAAAAAAAAAAAACCCAAAAACGAAAAATGGTATGCCTGATTACTGATTAGGGCACTTACCATGAATGGAACTTGCTCTGGGTGAGTGGTGAGTGAAAGTCAAGGCCCAGGACATTACTATATACTAATGTATATTTTATAAACACTGTACACTTAGGCCACACTAAATTTATTTTTTAAATATTTCTTTTTTCAATAGTGAATTAACCTCAGCTTAACATAACTTTTTTACCTTCTAAACTTTTAAATTTTTTAAAACTTTTTTACTGTCTTGGTAATAACATTTAGTTTAAAACACAAACACATTAGCTGTACAAAAAAACTTTCTTTCTTTATATCCTAATTCAATAAACTTTTTTCCATTTGATACAGTTTGGCTCTATGTTCCTGCCCAAATTTCATCTTGTAGCTCCCCTAATTCCCACCTGTTGTGGGAGGGACCGGGTGGGAGATAATTGAATCATGGGGTCAGGTCTTTCCCATGATGTTCTCATAACAGCGAATGAGTCTCAAGAGATCTGATAGCTTTAAAAGGGGGAATTTCCTTGCACAAGCCCTTTCTCTTTGCTTGCTGCCATCCACGTAAGATGAGACTTGCTCCTCCTTGCCTTCTGCCATGACTGTGAGGCTTCCCCAGCCATGTGGAACTGTAAGTCCAATTAAACCTCTTTCTTTTGTAAATTGCCCAGTCTCAGGTATGCCTTCATCAGCAGCGTGAAACAGACTAATACACTATTTTTATTTTATTTTTTTTACTTTTAAATGGTACTGTTAAAAACTAAATAGAAACACACACATTAGCCTAGGCCTACACAGGGTCAGGGTCACCAACATCACTGTCTTCCACTCTACATCTTGTCCCACTGGAAGGTCTTCAGGGGCAGTAACAAGCCTAGAGCTGTCATCTCCTACGACAACAATGTCTTCTTCTGGAATTCCTCCTGAAGGAACTGCTCGAGGTTGCTTTGCAGTTAATTTATTTTTTTAATAAGTAAAAGACTCTAAAATAATGATTAAAAGTATAGTATAGGAAATCCATAAACCAGTAATATAGTCATTTATTATCACTGTCAAGTACATACTATGCATAATTGTATGTGCCATACTTTTATACGAATGACAGCACAGTAGGTTTGTTTACACCAGCTTCACCACAAACATGTGAGTAACCTGTTGTGCTGTGATGTTACAACAGCTACCTAGTCACTAGGTGATAGAAACTTTTCATCTCCATTATAATCTTATGGGACCACCGTCGTATATGCAGTACTTCAATGACCAAAACATCCTTATGTGATACCTGTGTACTAAATGTTTGAAATATTGCAACTCAGCAGAAATTTTAAATGGATCATTTATAGAAAAACTGCTAGAGCTCTTTGAGAGACAATAAATCCAATTCAGTCTGCCCAGTCAGAGCAAAGACAACCCCTTCAGAAGTTTTAAGAGGAAGCAAGAGCATATATTCTCTCAGATATAACACGTATATTCGTTTTTCAGCAGTTGCAGGACTACTGGCTGGCTGGAGCTAGTTCACAAGGACAACCACATCAGTCAGGAAGACCTGTGACCCAATGGCTCTCATGTGCTCATGGACTAAACAGGAAACAAAATTCTGCGACCCCAAGTATGGTAAATGATGAATGGCAAGAAAGCAACTGGTCTATCTTCTGATCATGTAAATTCCTTTCCTTTAAAGGGAGGTTTGTCTGCCCAGAGGCTTAAAGGCAAATCATGAAATCACGTGTCTTCTGGAAAAAGACACACCAGCTGATAAAAACATGGTTTCTCCAATAATCAGTTAAAAACATCAAAATATTTATAATTATGTGCTATTGCTTGAGCTGGCATTCTCTATTTCTCATCACTTTCATCAACCAAAGTTTATTAGGGTATGGAAGTTGATAAAACTTAGAGAAAAATCCCAAGGAAATTCCATGTCTTTTGTGTTCCCTCAAACTGAAGTTTTCCCAGTATCTGTTTTCTCCTTATTGGCAATGGTGAGAAGGAATACTATATGAAAAGAGATTTAAAATCTATCATAGACTTTGTCATATGAGAACAATCCTTTCTGGAAAAGAAATGTAAACTTACAGGGATTTCTTAAGGGTCTCCATGGATATACACCATCCCCCTCCTCCAGTAGCTGTTAGCTTTTATGTGCAAATGTACTGAACTAGAGACCTATTATATCAAAAGGACATTTTCATCCTAGAATATTTTTCAGAAAAACAAGCCTCAAAATGTAACTCTTCTGTGCAGATGCAATCACCCAATCAATTCTTCTGCTGATTCAACATTCTAATAAGACTAACAATCCATTCATTCATTCATTCATTCATCCAGCAAACATTTATTGAATGCCCACTACAAAGTTCAGTGTTGTAACGACTGAGGCTCTGAAAATCATGGCTCCAAAACTCAAAACCTATGAAACCTTGGATAAGTTTCTTAAACTCTCAAGTTTCGGTATCCTTATTTAAAATACTAGTTGCTGGTATGCAGCTACTTTTTATGAACCAACCTAGAGAAACCCCATCCTCCTTATTCAGATGCCCTACTGGGAGGAAGGTGCGTGGGTCAACCTAGAGGAAGACTATGATATATTTTGAAATGATCTTAGGATAGGACACAGAATCTCAAGCAGGTTGCTCTGGATCTTTCCACTGTTCCAAGAACAAGGATCACTCACCAAGGCACTAAATGCAACCATTTCTGTTGCATACAGACAGAGAAAATTAATACATTTAACAAATGATTAAAAGAAGTGTTCAGGAAGAATTCAATATAGAATCACATAACTAGAATGGCAACTATTGATTAGATGAGGCTGAAAGGGCAGCTGTGTGTATTTCAAAGGGCTCTGAATGCCAGATGAAAACATCTGTACACAGAGAGGGGAAGACATGAATAGGTTTGAACCCTAAAAAGATGTTTGTCGACACCAAGCAGACTGGACTGGGGTAGGGAGTGAGTGGAGGCTGTGAAGCCAATTAAGTTTGTGGTCACAGTTGACATAAGAATGTAAGGAAGAAAAAAGGCTTCAATAGCATAATGCTTTAATACCATGCTTCTCAGCCTTGAGTATTGCATGGGCCATTTGTAAACAATTTACAAAGTTAAGTTGTTATTATCATAGTGTTATTTAAAGGTGTACAATATTCCTTATACCTATAGCGCCAATGAAAGTAAAACCAAAACGAAGTTACAAACCCAGGTAATATTGTTCTAAATCTTGTCCTCTTTCTGGCTTTTCGACACCTCTAGGTCTTCCAACCTCCTTCCTCTAAAACTAACGATTGTCTGAGAGTGTGGCACTTCAAGCAAAAGACCTGGGTTCACACTCTGACTCTGCCACTTACTAGCTGGAGACTTAGGGAAATTGCTTGATCAATATGAGCCTCAATTTCTTCATCTATAAAGTCAGCAGAATAACCTACCCCATACAGTTTTTGTAAGAATCAAAACAATTATGTGGAAAGCACTCTGTTACCCATGAGTTCTCACTAACACAATCTTGTGGACTTGCATTAATATGCAAAAGACAACAGAAGTTTACTAAAGTAAGTGACATTTTTTGGAAGGGTTCTGAACTATTAATATTTTAAAAGAGAAAAAAATCAAAAAATGTTTATAAGAACAAGACAATCATTTATTCTTAACTACTCAAACTCAGAGGATCATGTGTGCCTCCATTTCATGCCATCATTTGCAGAGGAGGAAAAGTAGACAGGTTGAGGGCCCGTGTGTGTTGCTGACAAAGGCAAACTGAGCCCAGGCCTTGTGGCTCCCAGATCTGTTCACCAATTAAAAGCTACAAACTTCATTGATAATGCTTATAGCCAGCTAAAACAGCACCTTCTTTGGAAAGCAGCACCTGGGACCCTTCCACAAACTCTCTGCAATGTGCTAACACAAGTCTCAAAGACCGGGCATTTCCCAGGGAAGATGGAGGACACCACACCTCAGAACCTTTGCTACCCTCTGAGACAAGGCTCACTCTCCATGTGAGAGACCTCACTTAAGTGAAAAGAGGGAAGCAGTAATCCAGCTCAGGATCAATAGAAAGAATCAACTAAGTCTTCCTGTGTAGATCTATTTCATACCAAGGACTTCATGTCTTCAATTTGGAAAGAAGTTCAAAGAAAAAATCAGGGACAAGATTACACAATTTACAAACTGACTTCACACACATCATATTTGATCCACATGGTCACCATGCTAGATTGATATTATGACCCAAAAACACTCTCCAACAAAAACAACATGTTTATTTCTATTGTCTTAATCTTAAGCAAAAAATTTTACTTGATTTTTCCGTTTCTTCTGTTCTTGGAGAAAAACTTGGCACACCTTTAAAGCAGTAGTGAACTTCCCATTTTTGAGGAGGCTTAAATATTATTTATAAAAATAGCAAATAAAATGTTACCCCACCATTCCTCCTTCTTGAAATTAATATGGTACAGTGCCAAATTCCATTCATCCTTTCACTTATTCATAAAACAAACACATTGGTAGCACCCAGGATATGCCACCATTGTTTTATCCTGGAGGACATAAAAATGAAAACAACCAAAGTCTCTACACTCTGATCATAAAATCAATATTAATAAAAAATTATAGCCCGCAATGTGGACTGATGTCAAAAATCATGAATTCAGGGTAAAAAGAAAGTTACTAAAGACTGGGATGACTGTACAAATACACAGGAAAGAAGTCATCAACAAAAAATTCTAAAAATGCCTCAAGGTTTGGGCCATTCCTTCGAGAACAGCATATATAGTAGGGCCTGTGATGGATGGCCAATACAAAAACGCTCTGACACTAACTTAATTTGCAACTTAACAAGAGTATTAACTGTGTACTTTTAACATAAAATAAAATGGGTGACTATCTTTCCACAACTTTTAATATTTATTCTGTGTTTTTTAGCTTGTCCTTTAAAAAATGAAGAATCCATTAACATTAGTTTTCAGGTTACCATCTTAGGCAACTAAATATGAATAATCAATGCAAATTAACCAATATTATATAAGGAAATTTGACTTATCTTTCAACCTAAGCAGACATGATTTTTTTTTTTTTTTTTTTTTGAGATGGAGTCTCGCTGTCACCCAGGCTGGAGTATAGTGGCGCGATCTCAGCTCACTGCAACCGCTTCCTGGGTTCAAGTAATTCTTCTGCCTCAGCCTCCTGAGTAGCTGGGATTACAGGTGCCTGCCACCATGCCAAGCTAATTTTTGTATTTTTAGCAGAGACGGGTTTTCACCACGTTGGCCAGGCTGGTCTCAAACTCCTGATCTCCGGTGATCCGCCCACCTCAGCCTCCCAAAGTGCTGGGATTACAGGCGTGAGCCACCGCAACTGGCCTAAACAGACATGATAATCTATTTCTTTAATAAAGATAACTTAAGTTTGCCTAAATTCTCTATAATTACAAAATAAGAATGTTGTACTAAGATAAGATTTTTAAGATAGACATAGCAATACGTAGCTCATCCTGAATGATCTAATTCCAAAATCTTGCATATATTTGACTGCTTCCTATTTAGAAGTTGTATTAAAAGTCAATGGATTCTTCAAAAAGCAAAACATTGAGCTGCCGTATGACCCAGAAACTCCACCCCTAGGTATACACCCAAGATAACTAAAAACATGTCCACATGAAAATTAGTATACCAATGTTCATAGCAGCATTATTCATAATCGCCAAAAAGTGGAAAGAATCCAAACGTCCAAGTGACTAATGAGTAAACAAAATGTGGTATATCCATACAATGAAATATTATTTGGCAATAAAAAGGAATGAAGTACTAATACATGCTACAGAACTGATGAACTTTGAAAATATTATGTTTAGTGAAAGAAACTAAACACCAAAGACCACATATTGTATAATTCCATGTATATGAAATGTCCAGGCTATGAAAATCCATAGAGGCAGAAAAAAATCAGTGGTTATGCCATGAAATGGGGAGTGACTGCTAATGGATATAAGGTTTCTTTTGAGGGTAAAAAAAGTATTCCAGTATTTGATAGTGGTGAAGGATGTACCCTCTGTGAGTACAGTAAAAAACACTGGGCTGGACGCCGTGGCTCACACCTGTAATCCCAGCACTTTGGGAGGCTGAGGCTGGCGGATCAAGAGGTCAGGAGATCGAGACCATCCTGGCTAACATGGTGAAACCCCGTCTCTACTAAAAATACGAAAAATTAGCCAGGCGTGGTGGCGGGCGCCTGTAGTCCCAGCTACTCAGGAGGCTGAGGCAGGAGAATGGCGTGAACCCAGGAGGCGGAGCTTGCAGTGAGCCGAGATCGTGCCACTGCACTCCAGCCTGAGTGACAGAGCAAGACTCCTCCTCAAAAAAAAAAAAAACACTGAATTGCACACTTTTTAAAAAGTGAACTTCACTGTATTTGAATTATATCTCAATAAAGCTGTTATTTTAAAAAAAAAAAAAAAAAGCAATGGCTTTTCAAATCCTTCCTGAACTTCCTTGGCCTCTTTTTGCCTGTTTTTATTTGTGTCTGGTTAATTTCCTCATATATAATAAATAAAAATAATTACAGGAATAAATATGAGAGATTTGTCAGTGTGTATATCACTATAACATGTTCATTCTGGAATTTTTATTGCAATTTTGCTTCTAAAATTGGAACGTAATAATGTAGAAAATTCAGTGTCATTGGGTACTGTTATGACAGCAAGAACTTCTGAAATGTTTTCTAAATATGCAGTATCTCTAAGTCCAAGGATCATTTCAAAATATGAAATAAACACAAGACTTAGTGTGACTTCTTTTTTACTTCTATCCCTTCTCCCATCCTCACAAAACCAGTACCCATCCATGGGAAAACAGAAAAATGGCCAACCTCCAACTAACTCCAGGGGCAAGAATGACCAGCATGCCCTAGGATTGAGAGAGGAAAGAGAGAAGGAGGGGCCTGTATTTCTGCCTTGACAACGTAGTAAGTAAAACGTAGCACACTGTTGCCCGTAGTTTCAACCAGTGGATTAGCAGCCCCACCTTCTAGGTGAGGCTAGAGAGGGTGAAGAAAGGGGCAACATGTCCTTGAGTTCTGTCCCCATGCCTAGAGAGAGGAAGAACAATCTCCTCCCAGACAGAAGCACTCAGTAAATGCAGGCAGTTTTTATATATTCTCTAGCCCACACGACATTCAAATAAGGCTCAAGAAAGGTTAGCTGAATTGAATTATCAGAAAAGGGTAGGGGGAGGAGAGATCACTGAGTATTTATGATGTTGTAACAGTTTTAATTGAATATAAGTCAATGGATCAATTTCTTGATTATAAATCTTACAATTAGATTTCTTCAATCAGCAAGTAACTTTTGGCAGATTTCAGTAACATTAATGCACTTTCTAGCTTAAATGAAAAATGGCTGATAAAAGTCCAAAAGATAAAGTACATAAGTAAGAACTTACTTGGTTAAAACAAAAGATTATTTAGAGTAACATTTTATTTATTTAGAAAAAGAAAACTGGAAATTAGTATTATCTAAATTTTTAATATCTTCATGCTAAAGTTTAGTGAATTTTCTTATGTGAAGTAGACACCTTAATCTTAAAGCAATAATTGGCTGGGCATGGTGGCTCACACCTGTGATTTTCCCAGCACTTTGGGAGGTTGAGGCAGGTGGATTACCTGAGGTCAGGAGTTCGAGATCAGCCTGGTCAAAATGGTGAAACCCCATCTCTACTAAAACTATAAAAATTAGTTGGAAATGGTGGCGCACGCCTGTAATCCAAGCTACTCAGGAGGCCGAGGCAGAAGAATCACTTGAACCCAGGGATGGAGGTTTCAGTGAGCCAAGATCACACCACTGCACTCCAGCCTGAGCAACAGAGAGAGACTGCGTCTCCAATAAAATAAATAAATAAATCAATAAATAAATGCAATAATTAGAAAATTAACCATTTGAACAGCTTTTGACGTCTCTAGTGGAAAAACACACTAGATTGTTGGTATGCAAACTAGGGACTTCAAAATATTAAGGAGCTACATATTTCCCTGGCAATTTTTTCTCCCATTTATTTTCTTAACAAACTCTATTTCAATATATAGAACAGGGTTAACTTCTACTTACGTCACATCCAAATGATGAGATGGCTTTCTGTATACAATAGATCTGGACAGATAATTGGGAAGCAGAGCATCTGCTACAAATTTTGACTCATCTGAGCCTAGCTTAGCTAATGTAAAAGTTTACCACTTAAATTAATCCCAGATTATTTTGTACAATCTTATTACTTGGATCATTTTTTATACTAGGACCTAATAACATGATTACATTAAGAAAAAATATGAATTATATGAAAATTAGAAAATAATTCCAAATGGATTTGGTTCATTCACCTTGAATTCAAAGATGACCAGGTATTTTTCTGGACAGTACGAGTGGAAATTCATTTTGCCCAAAATGCTGAAAATATGACAATCTAGTCCCAAAGCACTATGGGTTTGGTTATAGATTGCAGAACTAATTAACTTTATTACCTTATTCTTTCCCTCAAGTCATACACCAGAGTAAAACTGCCTCTATAAGAGATACAGCTTCCTAACCACACATATTAATTTTTGGGTCATATCAAGTAGAGTTCTGCCCAGCTGGAAGTCACTCTTTTTTTCCACTAAGACTGCATGGTTTTAACATTACTTGAGGATATAAAAATATTAGTTAATCAGCCATTCAGGAGCCTGCTCTCCTGCATTCCATTAACACCTTCTAATACAGCATAAACATTGTAAAGGTTATATTCTTGGACAGGCCAGAATGTCTTTGAAAAATTATTAGATCACCCCCAGAAGAGAACTATAACACAAATGAATGAGTCACAGGACTAACTAGAAGCAGGGCAGTATCTAGTTTTCAGAAATACAGTTAACTACCACATTAAAAGACTTCTTTTCTAATGTTCAACTGCTTTCACCTCTCTTTCTGGCTATAGTTGGAGTGGGGGAAAGGGCTGTGAGGAGGGGAGGAAGATCATTATTCAAAGGCACCCAAGCAAAAAACTAGGCAAGTTGTATTATTTTAAAATATTAATTAATAAAGTTATACTGGTTAGCAGGAGTCTAGATGTGCCATACCTAAAATAAATGTAATCAAGCCCCCCAAAATTATAAAGTTTTAAAGTTTAGCTACAAGTATAAAGTTTAGAGAAGTTGAAAACCCAGCACCCAGAAGAGTTCTTTAGAAGAGTTCTTTTATAGTTCCATTATCTACCCAAAAAAGGAGGCGGAAAGATTTAGCAGGTAAGATGTTTTGAAGTAACAGATGTTCTGGAAATTAAGGATATGTAGTCACAGGCCCTGCAACTCTCAATTAATTTGCACAATGTTGCTCAATGAAAAATAATGAGGTGGATACATTAATCAGCAGTGAGGTCTTCTCTAGCCTTCCACACTCAACAGTACTGAGAAATCAAATCGACTTCCTTCTGCCTCAGCTGGATAGGGATGATTATCTTACTATCCAACACTAGACTGTAAGGTTAAGAAAAACCCACTAAGTCACTGAAAAAAAAAAAAAGACTATAATTAATGCTTTGTATTAACTTTAAAAGAAAGTCCATTAATTTGGTAACAGAATGCAAGTGTGAATCCTATTAAATAGCACTCAGGAAAGGCAAACAATTCACTTCTAATTGCATATATAAACGAATATAATGTCATAAAATAAGAGACCATAAATCAAAATACAGCTAAAGCATTACTGTCCTGTATATTCTATGCATTTTCTCACTGGCAAAAAAACTAGCAAAAACCCAAAATGACATATTCAAAGCATAATCTTAGACAGCAACCTTGCTAAACTCAAACAAGCTTCCTTGTTTAAAATTTTCTTCTGAAAAAATTAATTCTGCCCAAAATAACAAGATTCATAATGTGCAAAATAAAAAATCCCTTACTGGTCTATTGTTGTTTATTATTGTTATCTATTATTGTTGTTTTCAAATCCTCTAAATACCATATAATAGTGACAAAATTTAATTCGACTTTTTCCTACTTGAAAACGAGTAGCGCACATTATTAAACCCACTGACACTTGTGTATATGTTTTCAACAAAATCTACAGATTCGCCAACGTTGAATTTCTAAGTACACCACAAATAATTGATATCACAAGGGAAGAAATGTACTCCCCAGAGAACATAAGATATAAATATAAATAGTATATAAATCTTAATTGTATCTAAACAGATACAAATAACCTCTATATCTGTCTATGTGTATTCAAATCTACGGTAAATATATCCAACTCAATACCCAGTCCGATTTAATTCCAACATGGAGTAAAGGGAAGGTAATGAAAATTCCCTTAGACCTCTATGGTAGCTGCAGTTATATTCAAATCAAAACAATAGGAACTGTACTTGGCACAATCATAATACAGCCTTATAATATAAGGTTAGGAATGAAAATGGACTAAACCATTTTCATTGAAGGTAACTTGGGCAGAAGTAACAATGTGCAACGTATTGAGAAAAATAAGGTGTGAAACAAAAGGGGTTGCAGAATTAAGTTCCAGGATAAAATACTGTCCAAGGGGAGATAAAAAAGGAAATAGACAAAAGTCTCAAAGGGACAACTAGGTTTTTAAAATGTTTCTTACAGGCATTATTCAGTGATCCTATGCTCTATTTAAACTCTACTTCATCGGCAAGAAAAGAATTTCATGCAGATAGATATTGTGCAATGGAATGTAACAAAGCATTGCTCCAAGGTATTGTTTATTAATTTCTGTCACTGATTTTGGATCCATTCCTAATGGTAACTAAAAGCTTTTTGAATTGAAAACATTAAAGGGCTGTTAAAAGAAACAAATGCAGAGAGCAGTACATCCCGCAGCATAACCAGCCAGGGTGGGTGGGGGAAGGGTCTTCACATTTAGACAGCACTGGCAAGAAAGCAGGTTTTTTTAATACTACTAAAATTATGTTAGTTTTCAACAACTAAAAATATTCTGCAATAGCTGTTTCACCTAAGGTAATTTATTCTACTTAGAAAAGCAACTAATGAATTGATAAGTCAATTGAAAAGTGAGTGAGTCATATTTTTAATGTCAAATTGCAAAATTCTTTATGCTTGAAAAGAATTAGAATTAAGAAATCTGCTAAAATTTTGGCTAAATGAGCACATTTTAAGGGGTTTTTAAAAGAAAAATTTAAGTTCCCTCAGACCTATATAAAATTGGTCTAGAATCCATCCATTCATCATATTTATTTACAGCCAAGCCAAAGCTCATTCCTTTAGGACTACAGCAAAATCCAGCAATCAACCTGTAGCCAAGGAGCTGAATATTCATAGAGAAAAATCACATAAGCAAGCGAATGTATTTTATTTTAGATTCATTATCGCCACCCCAATACCTGCTCTTCTCTCCTTCAACCACCCCAACACACACACCTGACCCCAATCTCAGATGATGACCTTACATTTCACTGGGAAAACAAAACCCTTTAGGTAAGAGCTCCCCCAATCCCCACCATCAAGTTACAAACCTTGGAGCATCCATTTCCAGTGTCCCTTTGCCCCCTCCTATTACCAGGGAGAGATGTCCCTCTCTCCAAACAATACTAAGCTCCCCTACATGTGCTGTCGACCTTCCTCAAAGCACAAAAGACCCATCCTAGGGAAGAAAGTGCAGGGATGCCTGGAAGTGATCTCCCTCCTCTCTAACTGTAAAAATACTACCTAATTTTTTAATGTAGCTATTTCCTCCCACTAGAATATAAGCTCCATGAGAGCACAGACATTATCTTGTTCACCTGGCTGTCTAACACATGCAAGGGTGTCCATTTTTGGAGCTGTGAAATAAAAATTCCTTAAATATTTGTTGCAAGTCCTATCTTCTATTAAGCCTTCCCCTTCTCCCACCACTCCCATCGAAAGCTTCATTCATTAGCATGACCCCAGCTGCATCCAGGGAAAATTAATTACTACATCTTTTGGGCTCCCATAACATTTGAATCCCTCCTACAACACAGAAGAGACATTTTTATATACATTCTTCCTAACTCCGATTCTCATTCCACACTATAAAACAAGGTACTTAAGAGGAACGACTGCCTTATTTATCGGTTATTAGATCCTAAATCAATGCCTGAATGAGCTCAAGAGAGTTTCTTTAACTGTACTGAGGAGAAAGTCCAAACTACTTTATGAATTGATTTCTAACTCATCCCCTACTTTTTCAAAAGAAATATGTAAGATAAAATACCTATTTAATAAATAACAAAATATTACTTTTCTTTACTTGCAGAAGTTATTTAGTCATGAAGTAGACAAGCAGGGTACCACTTAACACTAATTTAATGGAAAGATAGTCTAAGTTTGTAATGAGAAAACGGAAAATGGTTTTTCCCCAAGGTCACAGACTAAGGCAGTGGCAAAGTCAATTAACTACTCTTTATCTTACCAACACCAAAAAGAGCTTTCATTTCCCACCAACCCACATCCATAGATTTCAAGATTTTTATTATTATGGAAGTAGTTGATAATTTTGTCTATTAGTAAAAGAAGAGTAAAGTTTTAATTAATTATACTGAATAAAAGTGCAGGGGTGGGTGGAGCTATTAAAAGAACAAACAGGTTTTCTTCTGGGCTATACCACAGAGAGCTGAACAAAAGCCACTTGAAGAAAACTCCCTCAGAGTACAAGAGCTGCTTTTCTCTGTAGATTCTTACAAGATAATGATCAAGCAAGAAAAACACCTAATTTCCTTTTTTTCTTGGATTCTTATATTTCCCAGAGAGATTATATTCACAATGTGGAAAGTGAAACTGTTAGAAGAATCTCACTTACTTATTAACCCCAGTAAACTTAAAAATTAAATAAAATACGGCATCAGCAATTTGGAGCCTCTGGTTAATAATAAAGGGTATAAACAGTGAAGCAAGAAACTCTGCGTTAATCAACTATGTCGATCTGTCATTCTGTGTTTCCTTAAAGTGAAAATGGTGAACTATGCTGAAAAACAAAATAAGATAAACCTTTGTGTGTGACTAAAAATCTAGCCAGCCGAGTTTCTGGCTAGCAGATATGGCAGAATGGCATATTCAAGACTTGGAAAGACTAACATTATCTATAAGTCCGCAATTTACAAGAAGTAGTTTTAACAGTGACATGAAAAAGATAAGAAAAGGTTCCAAATAAAGTTATTCCTATTATGATTTCAATATTGTTATTTGCATGAATGATTATGAACTATTTTTTCATCCATTCGTTCAGGCACTTATTTATAGGAAGTACTAGAATGTCACAGAGGTAATAACTAAACTCCCAATTGTTTAAATTTTTTCATAGTGAAAATAAATATTCATATGGAAAGCTTCATAAAGTAAATAGTTTCAAAATAAAACAGAATGACAAAATAACCAGTTAAATCACACTATCAAAGTGAATGAACCCAAATTTTTTAATTTTTCAAACTATACAGAGTCCCTCATTTTCAGCTGCTCCACATCTAAGTGTTCTCGTGTTTTCTTAGCGGCAGCACTGAACTTCAGAGTCAATCAAGTCCAATTTTTAGGATGCCTTTGGAATTGAAGTCTTAAGACCACAACTAACAAAAAGCAAGTACTTTGCTCCTTCACAGCAGGATGCAGATTCCTTTTTCTAAGCAGAATTCCAGACATTCCATGAGTTTCCTATAAAAATAGATGTCCATTTTAAAGTAGGCCAGCCTGAACTCATACCAGCATAAAATAGCCAAGAAGCACACTTATGACTGTGAGGTTTACATCTGCTCTTGTAAGCAAACTCTAGAGATTACCATTCTTCAGCTCCACCCTAAATCTGCTTCTCAGCTCTTCCTTACTATCACAAGACAGTGGGCGCTGTGAAAAGATGGCCTAGTGGTTCAAGGAAAAACCATTGATCAGGAGAGCTCTGAGGACAAACATGGACGAGTGCTTGACTTTCCCTTCCCCCTCCAAATAAACTGCTGCATTAGAAAACTGATATTACATTTAAAGGTTATCACTTCTCATAACTCAATGACTTGATTAAAGAAAATAATTTTTTTAATAAATCAAAAGTACCATGAGTTTTTTTTAACATGACACAACAGCATACACTATAATATCATGAAGAGTACAAAGCTTAAAAAAAGAATTTAAGTGTAGACATCAGAGTAAAGGCCTGGTTCTTAGTCTCTGGTAGCACATGTAGAGCTTGACTTAAGTGGGATTTACACCGGTCTCTGTCTATCCTTAGATGCCCCCAGGAGTGAGATGGAAAGCATAGGCTTATCAGAAGAGGATTGTGTGACCCTTTTAAGCCCTTTATTCAAAAAGACTTATCAGATCCCTACTCTGTGTCAGGACCGTGCTTGGCAACTGTAAGCCGAAACAGACCCAGTCACTGCCCTTCTGGAGCTGAAGCTTGCTGAGGGAAACAGACAATCACACAAAGGAACACATTATTACCTCCCATGAGCAGTTCTAGGAGGCAGTCTTAGCGGGAGAGTGAGAGAGAGAGACCCAATCTATTCCAGGGATCAGGGAAAGCTTTCCCAAAGGGAGAAATGTTTACACCAAGTGGAAGTTAACCAGGCATAAAAGGAAAGGGAAAGGACATTCCAAAATTAGAAATCAATTTAGGCAAAGGCCTGAAGCAAGAGGGGCAAAGCCTGTCAGAGGAATTAGTGAGTTTGAAAAGGCAGGTGTTGAGGGTTGGTGTCTAGTAATGTAACTAGTGAAAGTTGAGGCTGGTGGGTGCTAGGCCACAGTTCATGTCTAGTCTTTCAGGCTTTATTAAAGTCCTGAGAAGCAGAGAATAACATGACCAGAATGTCTGTAGAGTGAAGAACGGGGTTGAAAATAAACCTACAGCAGACAGGAGGAAAACAGTGGCTGGCCTATTGCAGTAAACTTAGGATAATAATGGTAGCCTAAACCAAGAGGGTGGCAATGGAAAAGAGAGAAGTGGGCCGTTTTTAATGATCTCAGATACAGTACTTTTGATGATCTTCTAATGAACTATATCATTAAATTTCCAAAAAAAAAAAAAAAACCTGGCCCGTAATAAGCATTCCATGAATATTTGTTGATTCAGTTAATCTTCTTCATTCCATGCTTCTTCCTTCTTCCTCGCCTTTTTTGTGAAGTCCCCTCCCCAGGTCTGTCTGGAGTGGACCCACCTTGCAGAAGCAATTTCTCCAGAACAAAAATCTGTCAACTCATATCTTAATATGTCGACACTAAAGGAATAAGAGGATACAAAGGAAAAATACTAGGGAGAAAAATTCTCTCTGTCTTCAAGTTGAAATTTTCATGTCTCTAACCAGCATTTTGCAGCTTGACTTCTTTTGGGTATTTAAGAAAATTAGCCTATATTGTGTTTCCTGCTATGAACACCAGGTGCCATACTATGTTTCATCTACACTATTTAAATGACATGCCAACTTCATTCCTTTTATTGCCAGATCAGCTCCCTAGAGGTCAGAGTGACCGTGTCACTTGTCTGGTCACAGAGCCAGAGAGAACATGAACTGGGAGATCAGGTCAGTTGGAATCTAAACCCAGCCTTTCCTTGCTTGCTTACCACACTAGTTCTCAAGTAGCTACAATTCCTTCGCCTCGCTTTTTCTTCACATATATTGACTGGCCACCCATTTAAAAATAATAAATACGTCCACTGCAGCATGATGTTAGTTTGCTGAAAGCTAGGAATAAGACACAGGTTATTCTTTCTAGTGTGGCCCAGAATTAACCATAAGATCTTAAGCAAAGTATTCTGCTTCTATTTTTTCGTTGGTCAGATGAAGATAATGATATAAGTATATGAATTATGAGTATTATTGTTAGTAATGAGAGTTCTAAGCAGTAGACACAGAGAGGTGCCACTCCATGCCCTTCAAGAAAGGCCTTTGTGCCCAGCTGTGGAGTGGGTGGTCAGCAGACAGCCTTCAGGAGGCAGCAACCTTAGGGCCAGCCTCAGCTGCAGAGTGCTGCTTGCCTGAGCTCTCCCACTTTCCAAGGTGGCCCATATTCAGTCCCTGAACAAGGGTGACAGAAGGGCTGTCCACTTCAGCCTACACAGGCCGCCACTGACTAGAAACCCTTGCTGCATTCACAAGGCTTGCCAGGCCTGCATGGCAGTTCAGCTCCTCTCTCTACCCAAAACTGCTTCCTCCCCCTTCCTTTTACAAGTAATGATTCCTAATAAACATCCTGTACCCCAAATTCTATCTTGGCAGTGCTTCTAAAGAACCCAAACCATGACACTGTGCTTTCTTACTTTGGAGATATTAACTAGGTCATCATAAAACTTAATTACATATTTGAAGTGCCAAGAACAGGCCTGTTGAGTAACTTGATTTGAAGTTGTTCTATTAATTAACAGAAAGATATCTTTATTTCATATTTTAAACAAATCAAGTCCTAGTTGATAGCCTTTTTTAATCTCAATTTAATTATATGCCAAGTTTGAACATTCAAGTTTTTATCCCAGATAACTTTGGAAGAAAGTTATGAGGCTAAAAATTAAAGGATAAAACTAAATTGGGACATCTAATATAATTAGAGTGTCATTTCAGTGACAACAAATACATTTCAGTCTAGTTTTTAATGTGTTACACAAAGCTGGTTCTATAAGTGCTTGGCATCAATAAATTAACAACCAGCATTTTTGCCAGCAAAGCCAGCAGCATGCATATAAAACCAACAAGGGATATTAGGCCCACTGCCAAAGCTTTATACAACTAGTGTCACTTAATTTAGTTCTCATATCAGAGTGGAATCATGCTCGTTCTGGAAAAGTATTTCTTCCAACCCTCCCGGAAACTGGAAATTAATATATTTCTCTGCTTGCTTATAGCCAACACTACAATTTTACTTTTATCTAAATCTGGAGGTAATGTTTAAAGACTGTAATTTTAAGCTATCCAAGTGAGGATAAGTTTTAAAACATTACATGGATAGTGGTGATAACAAGTGAAATGGTCATTCTAAACCCCTAAATAATATGACCACTGAATCAGATATGCATAGAGCCCAAAAGGTCCTTTCATTCAACGTCCAGAATGTATTCATTCAAATATTATTTAGTGAGCACCAACTATGTGCCAGTCAATGTCTGGGTAGGCAGAGCTATTCCGATAGTGGTTATCTTGCTTGGTGAACAGAAACAGGAATGCAGGAAACAAATTCTGCCAAAAGATCCCTACACTTAAGAAATGGCAAAAAATATACTCCTACATATTAAAAATAAATGAAAAGAACCATATATTAGATGCAAACAAAAGATTCATGATTATTTTCTCTCTTTTGTCTTTTTCTTTTTCTTTTTTTAGAGACAGAGTCTCGCTCTGTAGCCCAGGCTGGAGTGCAGTGGTGCGATCATAGCTCACTGCAGCCTCAATATTATTTTCTTAATGGTGTCCAAAAGAATACTGAAGAAAGGTCAGCCTGGAATGTTGAACCCTACTTATTTCATAGGCAGAAACAGCTGCCAGGTTTTGGTCAACTGCTGTCTTACTAAGACTGCCAAATGGAAAGCCCAATAGGGCTGCCATGTTATACTGCATGTCATTCAAATGTTACCAATCACTTAACATTCATTGTAAATACTGAGTGTTTAGGAATGCCACAGAAATTCTGGAGAGTCACAAACTTCTAAAGGTGTCGTAAGCACTTACGCAACATTTTTATAAGCAAAATCTGAGAAGTATGATACTATTTTTCATTTTAGAATTCAGTCATATTCTTCACTAAATTCAAAACCAAACCACATATATACCACTCAGGCCAGAGGGAGGCTGAAAAAATAACACTTGACAAACTGACAGAAAAATGCTACCTCCTGCAGAGAAATAGAGGTGTTAAAACAAATCAGGTTGATTCTTGTTTTTATTAATGTGTAATCATTTACAGGACATACTTCATTTGCAAAGAAAATACTTGTTCATCAAGTTGAAAGATGAATGATAATCGCTTTTTGAGCATTTTATATTAACTGGATTAAGGTAGGGAACTAGCAGAAGGGCAAAAGGCAAAATTTAACAATTCTTCCTAAAATTTATTTGTCAATTTTTTGGTGTTCCAGAGAAGAAAATAATTTTTTTTCACGTTTTCCATCACTCCCAAACAATTTTAAACAGAAAATTTTATTATTTTATCCTTTAGTTCATTATGATGAATTAAATACTTGATAAAAGGAGAAAAGTAAACTATCTTTTTATGTTGATTTTTTTTAAAAAGAAAACCAACTGTGTGGAATGAGGGAATCAGAGACTAATTATATGAAGACTATGTTAATGTTTAATTTGGTTATATTTTAAAAAACCTGAAGGCTCCTGCAGACTGTTTTCATTCTATGCTACTACCCCACTCCTGGGCGCAACCACCAAATTTTAGTGCCACCCTCATAAATGCCAAGGGAGTAAGTTTATTTTTCCCAAGGTTCAACAGAGATCTCTTGTGCTTAGTCTGAGGGCAGTGGAGTCCTGCATTAATGCATATTTTTATTAAGCTCTCACTTTAGTTTAGCATGCAACAGATATTTTCCAAAGGTTTTTATAAACCTTCCTAGTTTTCTGACTTAAAAACCCAAAATACAGTCATGAAGCCCACGTATCTAAATATTCCTGCTCCAAAGTGAATAATGCAAAAATCTCTCAAAGTTACCATTCTCATCATTAAATCATTTTAGATTTAATTTTCAGTGCAAAATAACCAAATAGCCCCCAAAGTTTCCAGAACCTGTTGCCTCAGCAGGGAGCTAGCCTTCCCAAAGAGCACAGAGAATCCAACTAGAGTCACCTACCCACCAGGTCTCACCAGATACAGGTTCCACAAACTTTCCTGCATCCAGAAAATATAGGAAGAGATAAAGACCTGGGGGAATAGCATTTGCATAAGCAGCGGTTATGACTGTGGGTTTTGGAGTCAAGGAGACTAGCGACTACCTCCTGATTTTGCCAATTACTAATTGTATGACACTGGGCTAGTTGCTGAATCTGTCCAAGCTCAGCTTCCCTGTGTCAAGATGAAGGCGTCAAGATGAAGATCTGCTTTAGGGAATTCGGTGAGAATCCAGCAAGATGCTGAGGGTAGGGCATTCAGCACAGCGGCTGCCTTAGCAGTGCTCCATGAAGAGGCGATTGCTGTGATTACTGTCGTCCTCAACATTGTGATCAGCCCAAACACCTACATCTGTCAGCTATGCTTAGAAAGGGCTTGGCTGTGAGCAACACTATTGACTGTCTCTCCCTTCTCTCCAGGAATAGTACAGACAAGATAGAAGAGTCAGTGGTTGAGAACTAAGAGGTAAGAATATTTTGGCACTGCGGTTCTTTATAACACTTAGGAATTAAAGCAATTGGCACCTTGAGTACACTCAAGGGAAAATCAGATCAGTGGCTTGAAAGTGCATCCAGTATACTTGGAAATGCAAAAATTAATTATATTTGATGGCGATATAATAATAATAGTAATAAAGATACACTTTAACACAACAACCTCAGAGGTAATATCACACAGATTTTTCAGATAACTCACGGTAGTTATTAAAATTTCTGAAGACCACATAGCTGGTAAGGAGAAGAGCCAAAATTAGAATCTAAGTCTGTTTCATTCCAAATGTTCATAATCACTGTAATCTGTTCCAAGTGTCCTCCCAACAAGCTAGAAGCCTCATACAAAACCACTACATGATGGAATCAGATGGATGAGATGGGGTAGGATGGAAACTCATGGCATGCTCAATACAGAACTATGTGGCCTAAAAAACCAGAAGAAATGGTCAGGCCTTCTACAGAACATTCCGCACAAAGTGTCAATCTAAAATGAGGGCCATTAATCATCTGGTAATTTTAAGATCAAACAACTGAGACCACAGGATAATCACGGAACTTGTCAGTCCTAGAACGTATGGACTCTAACGCATATGTCAGTCATGACATCAAGTCTCACAACCAAAAACTGCCCAAAAGGTTTCTGAAAAAGAGAAACTTTAAGAATAACAATGAAGAACAAATACGGACATTTTTTAAAATTCTCTTTTTACTAACCTAGGAGTAAACGCAACACAGTCTCATAAAAGCAAATATCAAATTTCCTTTTTTAACTACAAAGTTAGATTAATCATAATCCTTAGTTCGTAACACATATGCTTTTTGTTTAAGAGCCAGGGTCTCACTTGGTCATCCAGGCTAGAATACAGTGACCCAATCATAGCTCACTGCAGCCTCAAACTCCTGGGCTCAAAGAATCCTCCTGCCTCAGCCTCCCAAGTAGCTGGGACCACAGGCACACGCCACCACACCTGGTTATTTTTTTTTATTTCTGGTAGAGACGAGGTCTCGCTTTGTTTGCCTAGCCTTGTCTCAGACTCCCGTCCTCAAGCAATCCTCCTGCCACAGCCTCCCAAAGCACTGGGATTACGAAGATGAGCCATTGAGCCTGGCTCGTAACACATACATTTATCTCTCCTTAATGGTCCATGCATGGCCTGCCTTTATATTTAATCATTTATATTTTATGCATGTATTTGTATGTTTTAGATAATACGATACACCCTCATGAACCCACCACCTGACACAAGAACTAGAACATTAAAAATTTACACCTATCAAGTGTTTCTCTTCAACCCACCTGCATTAACTGCTATCATGAATAATAATAATTGGCTTATTTTTCTATATATATATCATATATTTTGTATATATCTTAAAAGCATTTTTTTAGTTTTAGTTTTAATTTTAACACATTAAAAGTTTAAAGGAGAAAAAGGATGTCATATAAATAGATTCATAAAAGCATTTAATAAAATTTTATATAAATCCCTGATATAAACTTTAGTAAATTAAGTATAGAGAAGGGAACATCCTTAACCCGACCCGATTTAATTTTTTTTTTTTTTTCTGAGACAGAGTCTCGCTCTGTCGCCCAGGCTGGAGTGCAGTGGCGCGATCTCGGCTCACTGCAAGCTCCGCCTCCCGGGTTCATGCCATTCTCCTGCCTCAGCCTACCAAGTAGCTGGGACTACAGGCACCCACCACCACACCCAGCTAATTTTTTGTAGTTTTAGTAGAGACAGGGTTTCACCGTGTTAGCCAGGATGGTCTTGATCTCCTGACCTTGTGATCCGCCCGCCTCGGCCTCCCAAAGTGCTAGGATTACAGGCGTGAGCCACTGCATCCGGCCAAAATTAAGTACAATTCTAGTCAAAATCGTACATGGGTCGTTCATGGAACTTGAGAAGGTGATTTTAAAATTCACATGGTAAAACAGCCAAGATACTTTTGAAAACGAAAAGCAAGGAGGGGACCTGCACCCTATCAGATATCAGCATTTCTTACAAGGCTAAGACAATCTAACTCTGGACAGGGAGAGACATATTGACCTATGGAGTAGAAGAGGGCCCAGAAAAAAAAAAATCCCACACATATGCATAACTTTAATATATGACAGAGATGGTGAGTTTATGTGAATAAAAATGAAAACTGAACCTCCATTTTACATTACACAAAAATTAACTCCAGATGGATTAAGGACTTAAAATATCAGAAGCATATCTTTAAAATGTTTAGTGGAAAATATGTTTTAAGGACTTCTTTCTGAATCTGATAAAAAAGTATTTTTTAAAGACACAAAAGTACCCATTATAAAACAAGATACAGTATTAGTAAATTTGACTCTTTTAAAAACAAGGACATACGACCATCAAAAGTCACCTTATAAAAAGTGGAAAAAAGCTACAAACTGGGAGAGGATAGCTCCCATCTGTATAACCACCAAAAGATTAGAATCAAGAATATATAAAGAACTTCTATAATAACAAGAAAAACTCAGACAATTCAAAAAAAACTGGGCAAAAGACATGAATAGGCTTTTTTTTTAAAGGGGGGGTGGAATATATTAGACATAAGTATTTGAATAAATATTTGACCTCATTAGTGATCAGGGAAATGCACATCAATTATAAACTCACATAATTGGCAAAAATTTTTAAGTCGGATAGTAGCCAGTGTTTCAAGAGAATATGGATGAACCAGATTTCTTAAATATTGCTGGTAGGAATGTAAACTGGTACAACTACTTTGGAAGGCATTATTGCATTATCTTATAACATTCAGATACTCTATATCTGTATATATACATTCCTCTGTGCCATTCCTCTGTGAAATGCCATTCCTCTGTGAAAACTAGAGGAAATTTTGTACATGTAGAGCAGATAACATGTACAAGAATGTTTATCACAGTAGCATTCATAACGAAAATCTGAAAATAACCCAAATGTCTATTTGAGAAAATGCAGAAATAAATTTAGGTACATTCTCACTATGGAATGTTATACAGTCCTAAAAAAGGGTGCACCACTGCATACAAAAATATAGATAGATCTTGGCAGCATAATACAGACTGAAAAATTAACTCCTGAAAGATGACCAATACCAAGATACTCTTTTATCAAATATAAACTTAAATATAAAATGTAAGGATATATTAAACCAGGGATCAACGTAACAATCAAACTGAAATCCCTACCTCAATAAAAACTGATCTTAAAAGTACAAACCTCCAGAATTTCCATGGTGTCATATGCAGTCTCCTTCACTTATTTCATGTGATAAAGTTCTGCATTTCATCAAGATGAAGTGAGATGCAAATAGATAAAACCACAACTGTACAGCAGTAGATATTACACCCTCTCTCATTATTTATTAGGAATAGTTTGCCTGCTCACTTAAGAATGAATATCCTAGCGCTTTGGAAGGCTGAGGCAGGTGGATTGCCTGAGCTCAGGAGTTCGAGACCAGCCTGGGCTACACGGTGAAACCCTGTCTCTACTAAAAATACAAAAAAAAAAAAAAATAGCCGTGCGTGGCAGTGTGTGCCTGTAGTTCCAGCTACTTGAAAGGCTGAGGCAGAAGAATGGCGTGAACCCGGAAGGCGGAGGTTGCAGTGAGCCAAAATCGCGCCACTGCACTTCAGCCTGGGTGACAGAGTGAGACTCCATCTCAAAAAAAAAAAAAAAAATGAATATCATACCTCATACACTCAGTCATAAAGAGTCTTGAGAAACTAGTGGACCAGAAAAATACTAGGTGTATTATCCTGAAAAAGCACACTCTGGAAAACAGCTCAGTCACATCATTCATCTTGCCACAATACAGTGTCCATCTGTGACCATTTTTGAGTGAATAAGGTCATACATTTGCTTAAAGATAATTTTTGGGCCCAGTAAGGAAATCTCTTTAGCTCCTAAATTAGAAGCCAGAGGAGCCTGGCAGCCTTCACATGTGAGAAACCTATTGAGCAGTGAATAGAATAATTATTCCTGAAGACTGTGTGCTCTGGATATATTCCTGAAGACTGTGTGTTCACGGAGCAGCTCAGTGCTCCGTGAAAGGCACATTTGCCTTCCCAACTCTCAGAATATACTAAAAATGAGTTTTTTCCCCTCCTAAATGTCATTAGCATATTCTGATAATAAACAACTGTCTTTAATAGCCAGATATTTAGTATAGTAGTTATACATATATAGAGATGTAGCCACTCAGCCTATTGTCCTGAAAACTGGAAAATCTGCTCTTCCTGTCCTAAATATTAAGGAAGTACATAGCAGATGCTGGAGAATCTGTAAAATTAAATGTAACAGGATTACCATGAGTTTTCACTTACTATAGGTATTTAGATTCCATTCTTACATGACTTATCCACACTGATAAAGAATACGCATAAAATTAGTGTCTTTTCTGCCTTTGATAAAGAACAAAATAGTGGTAAGATAGTTTTAAACAATATGAGTTGAGTTCTTAATTAACTGTTGCAAGTGTCAGAGTAGTGTTCTATTTGTGAGTGGCAGAAAGTATCAAGACACTAGGAGAGGGCAGTTAAGGAAGCCCCCATAAAACTATGGAAATGAGAATATGGTACAAAGGTAGACAAATTCCTTGTTACAGAAATAAGGATATCGAAATGAATTAGGTTTTTTGGATCAATAATGTCAAAAACCATTACGTATGTGATTCATTAAATGCAATAACCAAAATAAAAATATTTTTCTTTTCAGAAAAGTATTCCATGATGAAATCAGTAGATTTCAAAAGAACAAACATACACATTCCAAAACCACTTGCATGTATTGACAATGTTGGTGACATATGAATTCATATGAGCTTTCTGGAGAGAACAGGCTTGAGCTTCCCCATATATGTTTCTGTCCTCCCAACTGGGCTGTGAGTTAAGAACAGGGACTGTCTTATTCCTTGTTGTATCCCAAGGGTGTGATTCAATTCTGGTGCTTAGAAAATATTTTTTGACTGAATGAATGAACTTGGTATTATATACCAAGCACTTTTAAAATTATTTTCACACCCCTTTAAACCAGTATTTCTACCCCTAGGAATTTATCTGAAGGAAATAACCAGAGACACAAAGACACATATACAGGATGTTTGTTAGAGTATTATATCTAATAGCACAAAATCTAAATGTTCAATCACAGAGAAATGATAAAATGTCATAAATCACACAAGGAACGTAGTACTAGGCAGTTATTTAAAAGTGTGTTTACGACCGGGCGTGGTGGCCCAGCACTTTGGGAGGCCGAGGCAGGCAGATCACGAGGTCAAGAGATGGAGACCATCCTGGCCAACATGGTGAAACCCCGTCGCTACTAAAAATACAAAAATTGGCTGGGTGTGGTGGTGTATGCCTGTAGTCCCAGTTACTCGGGAGGCTGAGGCAGGAGAATCACTTGAACCAGGGAGTTGGAGGTTGCCGTGAGCCAAGATCGCACCACTGCACTACAGCCTAGTGACAGAGCGAGAATTCGTCTCAAAAAAAAAAAAAAGTCTGTTTACGAAGTATAATTATTGACAAGGAAAATTTTCATAATGTAACATAATATGTCCAGTATATTTAATACATATATACACCTAGATTCTAATGTATTATATACATATGCATGAGTATATTTATATCTGTAGGAAAAAAAGTGTGAAAATACACCAAATTGTTAACATATTTTGCTAATAAATAGAACTTAGCTGATATACTTTAAAATTTACAAAAGTAACTAAAATTTTATTAAAAATGAAATATAAATAATTTTAATTAATAAACATACTCCATTTGCGTATGTGCTCTATCTAGAAACTATCCGACAACCACAAAAAAGCATTTGATATTTAGTCTTATAATTCAGAAATGAGACCTTCATAAGGAAAAGGAAAATACACAAATATGGTTTAACCACCACAAGAGCAACTCCACCAAAATGAGCACATACTTTAAAAATAGTCATGCAAGTAAAATATCTCATTGGAAAGGTAAATATTAGTGAATATTTTATTGGAAATATAAAAACATTCGTATTTAGAGTAATGTAATCGGGAAACATACCTTACAAAAATATTCTAAAATATTTTAAAATAATATACACTAGAAAACAAATACAGTTGTTTCCAAATTTTACTTTCTAAAAATAAAATCCTACTACTAATTCTTAACAAGGGTATGGTATTTTCCTTTTTTAATGCTGTTTTACGTTATCACTCCCTAAAGTCAATAACTGTATCAGAATTCTGGGCTCATCTGATGAAAACATTCCATCCCTATTGGAAAACAATCTGAAATCACATAGCCTCAGTCTGCTTCCCTGTATAGTCCATACAAACCAAACCACAAAAGCTACTAAAATTAAACAGTGGAGAATTGATTCACTGATAGGCCAGCAAAAGGTTTTTAGGTTTTTTAATTCTTTGGGTATTGTTTTGTTATTGTTGTTATCTTTTTTCTTTAATCCAGGGAAAGTCCCTACTACAAAGGTCTCAAAACAGAATTGAAAAGAATGGATCTTGTCTGGGTGTTCAGCTATCCATATACACAGGTTCATTCTTCAGCAGAGTTTACTAAGCTGTTTAGTGTCTTTGAATCAGTTTTTCTCTTTGTTAATTAAAACAAGCTAAATTTGCCTTTTATGAATTCTTAGGAAGTTCTATTCTCAGATAACCTATATTAAACTTTTAAGAAAGATGGAGAATGGTTCAGAATAATTATTACAGTAGCCAAGAAGTCCAAAAACGCTAACGGCTAAGGAATAAGGAACCCTGAATATCTTAAAATCTAGCTTTACAAGCCAAAGACATCAAGACAAATATTGTAAGGCCTTGTGCATTTGTCTGACCTGTTGCGCCGACAAACTGACAGGGGAAGAGAATACCCAAATTCTGGTCATAGGCTCAGCTACTATTCAGCCGAGACAACCTTGGAATCTAACTTAAAAATAAGAGTTCTGGGCCAGGTATGGTGGCTCGCGCCTGTCATCCCAGCATTTTGGGAGGCTGAGGTGGGAAGATCATTTGAGCCAAGGAGCTTGAGGTTACAGTGAGCTATGATCAGGCCACTGCACTCTGGCCTGGGCAGCAGAATGAAACCCTGTCTCTGAAAACAAAATAAAACAAAAAACAAAAATCCTCATGTAAAGATAACCTGATCAAACAGGAGAATTTACTACTATATGCAAGAATATTGCAGTTACTGACAGGAATATTTATGCTAAAGCATTTTAATGATTATTCAATGCAAAAAAAGTATTAATTGATTAAGGGGGGAAAACAACATTATCACAAACAACGTCATCACAGGCATCTCCCTAGCTACATAATTTTCCACTTGTCACAAATGCAAATTTTAACATTACTATTTGAAATAGCCACAAGGTACCAAATATATTATTTATAGATTATAAACCTTCAGCTTTTTCAGGCCTGAAACTTAGCATTCATTTGAACGTTTATAACCACGTAACTGAAGTCTATACAACATTAATCTGAAGTAGTGAACTCTTGAGCAAGCTCCCACAGTACTTAACTAATTTCAGTGAAGAAAGTGCACCTCTTAAAACATGCCAGTGATAGAACTGGGGAAATGCAAAGAATAGGCCTGAAATTCTAGACCATGGGGAGATCTTAAAACATAGCAAGACTCTGTCTCAAAAAAAATAATAATAATGTAAGAAAAAAAATTCTATTAATAAACATCTAGCAATCACTATCTCAAAAACCAACAAAAGATGAGAATATAAACAAGTTTACAAAAGTATCTGATAAATGCATAGATAATAGAGCAGGAACCAGTTCTTAGAGTGTATTTATTCAGAGCATCTGACAGACAATGCTATAGATGGGGTGGCAGGGACTGTGAGTTGCCTCCCAATGTCTGTTTTCTTTTGACATGGTATCATAATTTCTAGTTGCCCATACAGTCACTTAACTCAAGACTCATTTCCCAGCCTTCCTTGCTGCTGTGTATGGTCACATGACTAAGATTTGGCCAATGGGATGTGAGTATACATATTACGCACAACTTCTCAGTCATGATCTTTGCCCTAGTTAGAATCTGATTGAAATGGTCAGAGCCATCTTAGGCCATGAAATAGTAGATACATGAGCATCAAGGTACAAGGAGCCTGGGTCCTTGGTAACTGTAGAACCACAGTCAGGCCTGGACCTTCATTCTAGCCATGTAGATAGTAGGGAAATAAATATCTATCTTGTTTGTACCATGATTACTTGAGTTTTCTCTATAAATAACAATTATTAGTCAAAATAATACAATAGCTAACATTTATTTGGCATTTACTACATACCAGACACTGTGCTAAGAGCTTTATATAAACTCTCTCATTTGCTCAAGACAGTAACAGTTTCAAGCAATTATTCCTATCCTCAGAAAGCCAGGCCTTATGGAGAAAAGATAACTTTCTCAGAGTCATTCAGCTACTAGGGCCTGAACATAGGCCTATCTGATGCTGATGCCATGGTCAGGCTGTGAGCCACAGCCACATACACAATAAATTCCATTTGCCTGGGATGGAGACCAGCCACGACCCCCTTCTACAAAGCATTCCAAGAACGTTGAGTTTTATGTCCCCCAGATTTAACTGGCATATCTTCAGGACTGTGAAGAAGAAAAAAAAAATTGCATCATAGCACAGAAATGAAGAAAGAGTTATACAGCCAAGATTCACAGGGGAAAAAGAAATCATTCCCACTGCCACTCCAATACAATGCAACTTAAAGTCATGCCATAAAGTTATACACCAAAAGGTTTATAGTTTTTTGGCTTTGGTTTTTTGTTTTTTGTTTTTTTTCAGCAGGAGGAGATTATAGAGGACCTTTATTTTCTACATTATATGTTTTTATAAGGTTTGAAATTTTTATAATCATCCAGTATTACTTTTATCATCTAAAGAGACAATAAAGATTTTTTAAAACATGTCATAATGGGTATCAGAAATTTTCCTGCTTGGAATTTTATTTTTTATGAGAATGCAATTGTAAGTTATGATTAAAAGTGTCAAAGTGCTAGAGAAATGTAATTATAGAGATAAAATAATAAAAGAAACATACCAATTTTTAAAAATCTATTTCCAACTATATTATTCCAATATGGATTTAAAGCAGCTTATAACAACAACTACAGTATAACACAGAAGGAGAGTTAAGTGAAAAAAATTGAAAGCAAAAAGGAAAGTAAAGGTGAAAGAAATAAGATGAAAATGATTCCAGATGTACAGTCAGTGTGCAAAACACATGGGCTCAGGTTCTGTAGCCTTGTTACAGATACCCTGAATTTTTTTTCTAAGCTTCCTAGCAGACAAGGCAAAAAGGAGCTCAGAGTGTCCATCAGATAATAATAAGTGAATGGTTCAGAAGGAAGCACAACTGATTTTGGCACCAGGACCTACTGAGATGCTTTCTCTAATGAGTCCACAGAATGAAGGTGCTTTTTCACAAAATGAATTGTGTGTCCAGACACAAACAGGATTTTTTTTAAATGTTGGGGCCCAGTTGCAAGTATAAAAGTTTAATAATTTGGGGGCCAAAATTTAACTGAAAGCTGAAAGGCATGCATATTATATAGAAATGCAAATAAAATGGTCTCAATATAGTTCCTGGACAAGTTTCCAACCACCTTCTCCTTTATACAAATGATATACTGTAATTTACTTTCCATAATTCACTTTCTTTGCAGATACTTATGTCTTAAATATTACTGACCATTTTTAAATATGCAACACTAAAATCATTATGGTCTGACATTTTTATATGCTTATAAAACACATTTTGTTCTAACTGTTTTTATTAGAAGAAATGTGGCCTGCTGCAAACCAAAACCTACATATTTTACTTTGGAAAAAAAAAAGCAGCTGGAAATATAAAACCCCACACATTTGCTTTTAACACTGCTTGGGAACTAAAACCTATCATGTGCACTTGACTGTGTTTTCACAGAAAAGCAGCATTCTCAGTGCAGGCACAGCCCACGGCATTCTCACTGCTCCCCAGGAAGGGGTGAGGGGGTGACTGTGCAAGCTGGGGCTCCCCGGATGAGGGCTCCCTTTCACAGGGATCTCTGGACCATTGTGTCTCTAGACTTAAGAATACAGAAAACAAAATTCCTTGGAATTTAGCCTCTGAGGAGGCAGGCAAATTATGTTAACCACAAGCAAACATCTACATTACTTTCTGGTTTGTTTCCACTACCTTCCAAAATAAATTGCAATTTAAAATCAGATCTTAGAAGACTACATATAACAAGACACCCGTATATTTTCTTTTCTTGCCTCATGAAATGACAAAAATTGCAAAAACTTTTAATAGCATTTAAATTTTAATACTCTAATCACATGTGTTTATATTTAAATAAATGTTGGTTTCTTAAAATACGATTATTCCCAAACTCTCTTGCTATAAATTAAAACACAAATGGAAGACGAAGATGCCCAGAGATGATTCCAGTTGATGGAAGTTCCTGGTCCAGTACAGAAAGGGAAAGAGAATAACAATAAATATAAGTCAAAAGAAGGGTGGAAACAAAATACACTGGCAGTAAAGGCATGTTGGTACCAGGTGGGTTCTTGGAAAACAGGTCAGCAGAAGTTAACAGGGTGGTCACTAGCCCAGTGAGCCAACTGTTTCCAAAACACTGGTCCAAACACAAGCCTACTTGTTCTCTGCTGGCTGGTCCCTTATTAGAGATTTCCAGCTGGAACTTCAAAACTTGATACAAACCATGACCAAGTGGGCTTTGTCATGGGAATGCAAGACTGGATGAGTACTCAAAAAACAACCGATGTAATCCACCAGATTATCAGATTAAAAGGAAAAACAGTCATCATCAATCAATGCAGAAAAGCATTTGACAAAATTCAACATACATTCATGATTTAAAAAAAAAAACTCTCAGCAAATTAGGAATAGAAGGGACCTTCTTCATTCTGATAACACCTACGTCTAACATAATACTTAATGGTGAAAGATTGAATGCTTTCCCCCTAAGACCAGAAACAAGGCAAAAATGTCCACTCCCACCACACCTACTTGACATTGTACTAGAAGTTCTAGCCAATGCAAGAAAAAAACTCAAGGAAAAGAAATAAAAGGCATGCAGATTTGAAATAAATTAAGTTGTTCCTATTCACAGACAACATGACTGGCTATGGAGAAAATCCCAAGGAATCAAGGGGAAAATAATTTCTAGAACTAATAAGTCATTTTAGCAAGTTCACAGGATAAAGTTCAACACAAAAATTAACCATTTTTCTATATATACACTTCTTGTATACATAGAAACCAAAAGAAAAAACACACATATTAGAAACCAAGAAAAAATACCACTTACAGTGTTACAATTTATACTTAAGTACAGGTCTCAAAAAGCACATACAGGATCTACATGCTGAAGATGACAAAATGCTGCTGAAAGAAATGAAAGAAGACTAAATAAATACAGAGGCATACCATGTTGATGAATTGGACAATTCGGCATAATAAAGCCATCTGTTCTCACCAAACTTATCTATAAATTTATGCAATCCCAATAAAAATCCCAGCATGATTTTCTGTAGGTACAGACAAGCTGATTCTAAAATTTATATGAAAAGACAGAAGAACTGGAATAACCAAAACAATTTTGATAAAGGAAAAATAAGATTGGAAAAATCATATAAGCTGATTTTAAAATTTAATATAAAGCAACAGCAATAAAGACAGTGTGGTATTGGCAAAGGAACAGACACATGTGTGTCTGAAATTTTTCATCATAAACAATTTTTAAAAATAAAATTTAAAATAAACCAAATATAAGGAATCTGGAAAGGTCACTGAGGCACATGCGGAACATTATTAAAAGGCTGGAGAACAGACACTACAGCTGTGATTCCTGCCTGTCTCATTCGCTCACTCAAACTCAATGCTTGGCATAGAGCACATAGTCCATAAATAGCTGCTCAATGAATAAAAAGTGAATGACGCACCAAGGGAAATCTTACTCTTTTTCCTTAACCCTATAGAAGGAAATAGCACCAAGAATCCTAATGAATTGATCTCCTTAATTGAAAACCAAATAGAGAAAGCTGCTTTAAAAATAAATTTTATTTTAGAATGTCAAATCCTAAAATAGAATGTCTTTTCCTAAATACCCCAGCCTACACTGCTTTCTCTTTTATGAACTCCTCTAGTAAGTGGCCTTAACATTTCTTAATCAAATACAGTGTTAAACTGTCCTCCTGTGTGTGGTGCCTGGGCTTTACCATGTGGTGAGGATGGAAATAGCTGACTTGTATTGATGGAGTTCCTGCCATATATCCTGACACTGTTCTAAGTGCTTTCCACTCAACCCTGCAAAGCAAGTTATTAGTATCCCCTCTCCCAGATGAAGAAACTGGGGCATAGAGGGTCAAGTAACTTCTCCAAGGTCACACAGCTAGTCCAGGGCAGAGCAGGGACTCAAACACAGGCAATCTGGCTCCGTACTTGCCTCAGTACTGCCTCTTCTGAGGACCTTGAGAACCCAGACTCCTACAAATCACACTATTTTTGTGTATTTTTCTCAGCAATGTCCACCTAGGACAAGGTTGGGTATGCAGCACATACTTTAAAATCTAAATGACTGGTGTGCTATCTGGGCTGCATTTGCAAATTCCAAGAGCATCTTTAGGGAAAGTTTTTAGTTAAAGTTTGTGTTGTTCTGAAGAGCCCTCCTGAACTTTCTATAATGTTTTAGTTAATTCCACCATGAGGATTTCCATGACAAAAAAAAATTGTTCATGTGTGATAAAGATAAAATGTTAGTACTTACCAGATGTTAAGTTTTTAATGTAAATATTGCCCAAAATAGATACCAAAACAAGACTAGCAAAGTAAAAATCCTCCTGGGGAAAATTATTTTATATCTCAGTGAAAGTCCTTTCCTATAAATCCCCCCGCCATCCCCAACAAACACACATAGAAAGCCTTTGATGGCAAAGGAAACCTCAAAGATGTCTTGCACTGAGAAAACAAAACATACAACACCCTCCAGGAATTCTGGTCCTTCTTAAGATCTCTATCACTAATTGTTTTGGAAAACCTCAATACAAGTATATGTTTCAATTCTGGGTTACATGTAGTTTAAGGGTAAAGAAAAGAAATGACTGTAGTCAGCCATCCATTGCCATCTCTCTAATGAGGTATGTGCTTACTGAACACATCTCATCTGAAAAAAAAATTTTTATACAAAAGATGAGTTTTTCTATTGATCTTTTTTCTTCTACAGCATTCTACTAAAGAGAGATTAATCCCAAAACAACAAGAAAGGCCTTTAATGAAACCTCACAGCAGCTGGCCATCACCCAGGCTTTAGCTGTGTCCCACGATACACTCCAGACATTCTGCATGCTCTCTGTACATTACATGTCAGACCATTCCAATGGAATGGGAAACTATGATTACACTATAATTTTAACATTTAACCCAAGTTTTTGCTGACATAATTAGCTAAAAATATTAGCAAAAAGGGTAACAAGAGCTGTCCAGTTAACAAAACTAATTTCAAATAACAAATTTGGAGGATGATAATTTCAGTGACCACAAAGTAAAAGTAAAAACTTTATCCTATCAAGGACAGCAATAGGCTAACCGAATTCACCACCTATAAGGGGATTCTCTAGGAAACCCACCACGGGTACCCAATTTCCACTGGCAAGAAAGAGAACACAGACGTGATTATGTGACCACTAGGTGGCACCTTCACACTGCTTCATCTCAAAACCATATTTCCACCTCCACTATGGCCTTCCCAAAGTATTAGCAGTATAAAATTCAAACCCAGGTGCCTCACTTTAACAAAAAATAAATTTAAAAAATGAGAAAATACATTTTCAATTAAAAACTTTTCCCATTAATTTCTACATCTAAGGCTTTGGTGTATAATCACAGAAGAATATCTCACCAAACTGTCAATATAAATTGGTATTCTGACTTTATCGCCCCTTGGCAATGCATTGTTCCAGTATTACAATGTAGAACTGAGATAAATTTGTAGCTTCAACTATATGTGTAACTGAATTAAAATAATTTCAAAAGCCCTGTGAGCAAAGGCTGTGACTAACTGAAAAAACAAATGGTGGCCTCTAATACTTCTTGAGTCCCAGCCTATGACGGCAAGTGTCAAGTAATCCTGCAGACTGGGTAGAATGTATATCATTTCTTCATCCCTTTCAAATAAATATATTGAAGTTTTAAAAGATTTTTTAAAACAGGTCTAGATTATGACCTTGTAGGATCTACAAACAATTAGCAAATTCCTCAAGACTTGGGTGACATTATTAGATTCAAAGGGAAAGTCTGAGTAATGGGCATTTCCCTTATTTGGAATTATGTTTTATGTTTTGTTTGTTGTTGGCAGGAGAATGGGGCAGACAGTTCTGCCTACTTGTCTGTATCTATTTGCAAAATATCATCCCAGTTTCAGGTAGCTACAAATGGCTGGGTCCCAAGTAAACCTTTTAAATGTGAGGTTTCTCCTTGGCAATCTCAATCTCTCCTTTTCTCTCCAATCTGTGTCCTTCCCTGCTTTGCAGCCTCTTACTCAATAACACTCCTGCTTTTGACACCCAATGCCCTTTCACCTTTCTTTCTTTCTTTTCTTTTCCTTTTTTTTTTTTTTTTTTTTTTTTTTTTGAGACAGAGTTTTGCTCTTGTTGCCCAGGCTGGAGTGGGAGTGCAATAGCGTGATCTTGGCTCAGTGCAACCTCTGCCTCCTGGGTTCAAGCAATTCTCCTGCTTCAGCCTCCCAAGTAGCTAAGATTACAGGCATGTGCCACCACACCCAGCTAATTTTGTATTTTTAGTAGAAATGGGGTTTCACCATGTTGGCCAGGCTGGTCTCAAACTCCTGCCCTCAGGTGATCCACCCGCCTTGGCCTCCCAAAGTCTTGGGATTACAGGCGTGAGCCACCGCACCCAGCTTTCACCTTTCTAAACTGACTGAGGCAAGCGTCTAGAATCAGCCATTTCTATTCTAAGGTAAACATGAGCCAGTCACTTGCAGAGTTGGTCCCTACCTCCCATCTGGTTCCCTGGCACTTTGTATCCACCTCTTTTTCAGGCCTGAATACCTCACATTGTAACTCTCTGTCTACATGAGGGCCTCCTCTACCAAGCTAAAAGTTTGTCAAGAAAGAAGACCAGGTCTTAATCTGTATGCCCAAAACCTACCCATGGTGTTTGTAAACATTAAGCCCTTAATCAATGCTTGTTTAATGAATGTATCCTCTTGCCTTGCCTGATTTACATTTTAAGCCTCTTCTCTAACTGTGGAAAGACTTTACCTCTACCTAACACAGGAGTTCTTAATTTTAGAGTTCAAGAACACATTTTTATGTACATCTATATGAGCATTTTTCCAGGAAAGAGGTTCACAGCCTTAATGAGATTCTTAAAGGAATCTCTAACTCCCAAAATTTGGAACCAAACCAAGCCAAAGAACTTCAAGCACTAGGAATCAGAAGAGAGGCATATTATTAGGCTAAGGGGCCTGCCAAGCATCCATGGAACTATATTGGTAGGAAGCTACCAACTCTGCTTATAGGTAATCTCTCTGAATACAAAGTAGAAGTAGACAGACTAGTCACTGCTGACAAAATCAGACCAGTCGATGCAATCGTATGCATTCACAAAATACACACCTAAAAGAAACCACAACTTCAGGGAGATGACAATGATCAGAATACAGATGCTCCTCAACTTACAATGGGCTTACATCCTGATAAACCCATTGTAAGTTGAAAATACAGTAAGCCAAAAATCCATTTACTTAATACACCTAACCTACTGAACATCATAGTTTAGTCCAGCCTACCTTAAACATGCTCAGAACACTTATATTAGCCTACAGTTGGGAAAAGTCATCTAACACAAAGCCTATTTTATAATCAAGTGTTGAATATCTCATGTAATTTCTTGAAAGCTGTACCTAAAGTGAAAAGAAGAATGTTGGTATAGGTATTCGAGTTAAGGTTTCTGCTGAATGCATATGGCTTTTGCACCATCATAAAGTTGAAAAATCATTAAATTGACCATAATAAATCAGGGACCATCTGTACTATGATTTCTAGAAAGCCACAAACTTTTAAAACTGGGTAGCAAAGGTATAGGACTGCAGAGAAAAATATCTATTTTTATTCCAGATTCTAAGTCCTATGCAGAAGCACAGCCCTGTTCCACATTGAGTGTCCAAATACATACAGGCCTATGCCCTCTAAAACCCTGCTTCATGTGGCTCTGACCCAGCACCCAATCTCTTTGCCTAACACCTGTGGGTGAGGTGGTGTCCTTCTCCAGTTTTGTGCCTGCTAAGTAGAGCCCACCACTGGAAAAATTTTCATAGGCTAAATTTTAGTGAATTACTAAGAACAATTTAAAATTGGGGAAGTGTATTTTCTAGAGGTCTGTTTCACCAAGAATTTTCAGTGGCATTAACTAGTTTGGATGAGTTATTTGACATATGAAGATGTCAGGTAGATACATCCCAGGCCTCTCTGACCTGGACTCTCTGACTGACTAATTATAAATCAGAGGTTCCCATGATCCACTCTTCAGGTTCAACAACTAGAATGACTCCCAGAACTCAGGAAAATAGTTAACTTACTATTACTGCTTTACTATAAAGGATACTACTGAGGAACAGCCAAACGGAACAGATGCATAGGGAGATGTACGTGGAAGGAGCACAGAATGTCATTGTCCTCTCTGTGCACCCCACCCTCCCAGCACCTCTACATGTATACCAACCCAAAAGCTCTCCAAAACCCATGATTTAGGGGTGTTTATGAAAGCTTCATTATATAGGCATGATTGATTAATTCTTTGGTCATTGGTGATGAGCTTAATCTCCAGACCCTCTCCCCTCCCTGGACATCTAGGGTGGACTGAAAGTTCCAACCTTCTAATCATGCTCTGGTCTTTCCAGTGACCAGCCTTCATCCTGAAATTATCTAGGAGCCTCCAGTCACCAGTCATCTCATTAGCAAACAAGACACTCTTTTCACTCCAGAGAGTCCAAGGGTCTTAGAAAGTCTTGTGTCAGGAACCGAAGACCAAGACCAACTATTATAACAAAAGTTGCTCCTATCACCCCTCTCACTCAGGATATTACAAAGGTTTTAGGAATTCTGTGCCAGGAACTGGGGACAAAGACTAAATATGTATTTCTTATTATATCACAATATCACACATACTTAATCAAATTACTGTATTTATAATAATAGTAAGATTAGTTATCTAAATGTCCACACAAATGGCATAAATCACTGAAGTCCTCAAAAAGAAAATGTTAGAAGCAAATGGAGAATCATTTGAGTCCATTATCATTTTCTACCTTTCTTCTTCTGATACGGCTTTTCTTGAGTCATTCATTTCTCATACTGAAAATCACTCATTCAAAACCAGCCTTTTAGGTAGAAGGTCAGTACCCATGTATTAGGCTTTAATGTTGGGATTCAGATGATATGGAGTGGAGTTTTTCTACCATAAAGGGGAAGATATTTGAATAAGCCTTTAAGAATGAGAAAGTGAAAAACAGGGAAGAATAACATGTGCAAAGATTCAGTGGCATAAAGAAGGTTTGTATGTTAGGGAACAGCAAGTAGTTCACAGTGGTGGGCACGCTGGGTGGACTGGGAGCTATGGCGAGAGATGAGACTGAAAAGCGTACAGCCAGCCAGGGAATCTGGATTCATCTTAAATGGTTACAGGGCCATTATAGGATGTTAATCAGGGGAGTGACATATCATATTTGCATTCTGGAAAGATCATTCTTGCAGCAGTGTGGAAATGGACTGAGGAGACTAGTTGCAGAAGGAGCAGTTAATGTGGTAAGACAGAGATAAAGGATTTGAAAGACATTAAGGAGGAAGAATACACTTATATGACTCCCTTCATAACTGTGGGGTAAAAATATAGTCCAATCTCTTCTTTTCCCAGTTCATTGGTTTTGAGACCCCATTAGTCTATGTTATTAGCAACAATTCCAGTATCTCCCTCCTGAAGCTGCTCCACAGCCCTACCCCAAATTGTTGAAAAATGCTGAGGTCTGTCCTGGTTCCAAATACCAGGTCGAAACAGAATAGAAAGCCTGATGAGTCCAAGATGAGTCCACATTTCTAGCTGCTGCAGCTCCTGGTAAAACCATAGAGTTGTTACTTTTGTCCATTGCTGCCACAAACCCTGGTGTTCCAGATCCCTGCAAAGACAACTGTGATGCCTCACACTTGGGATCCCAGGGGACTGCTGCTTTACCTTAACTCATATACACTGTCAAAGGATCGATACTGTGCCAGAAACCCAGGCTCAGCCACAAGCCCTCCTTCATGAGCCTAGAAAGGCCCTAATGCTAGCCAGTTCAACATTCTCCTTTCTCCATAGTGAGTTTCCCTTTGGGCCCCTTGGAGTCCTTTCTTTCCAAGGGACCTCTGCTGGGACAACATCAATCCATCAGAGAGGTTCGAGTAAAACTGAGCCAAAAAAGAGAAAGGAGCTAGAGTTGGACTGCCTTTCCTCCAGGAAGTTCCTTGGCCCCTATACAGGCAATCAGCACTGTGAGACTTTGTCTCGCCACCAATTTCCTGTCACTCTTCTCCCAGAATCATGGTTACTCATTTGCACTATATTTGCATAATTAATAGGGTTAAGTCCAGTCTTTGGGGAAGGGTGACTTTCCATGTCCACCTAAAGAGCAAGTGCCTGGACATTCCTCACAATTTAGAAAAGAAAAGAAAAAAAGAAGTGAAATGTCTGTCTTTAGTGACTAAGTAGATGGGGATGCAACTGCTCCTGTTCTGAGTGCCAGCAACAGGGCAGTGGCCCCAGATGAAAGTCGCCCCACTGCAAGGCTTGGCCAGTGACTGGAGCCTCCTGTGTAAGAAGAAGCAGTGTGCCAGCAAGCACCATTCATCAAATGGAACACAGCAGATTTCAGCCACTTCTTTCCCTCAGCCAGTCACCTCTGGACAGTGTACAGTGACGCAGTCGTCCTGCCTGAAACTAAGGCAGAATGTTCTTCTTCAAGAAGTTAGGTTCCGGGATGAGTCTGTGGCATCAGCCAATTAAAGTCCTTTCCAAAGAGTCTCATCTATTAAAGAAGAGAGATCCTGATAAGATAAAGATGGCAGAAGGGGACTGTTTGATGGGTACACTTTTTTTCATGGGGCTGGGGAAGTACTGGACTGAAAGTGATAAAGTCTCTCAACTAATGTGACTCCTTCCTAGCTCAGAAAAGAGAATTATCTGTGAATTCTCTCACCCTCTCTGAAGTGCCAGTTACCAGGGGGACAGTCATCAGTCTATCTTCTTTATACTTCTTTCAAGAGGCTTAAAGCCCTGTGAGGGGGTAGATAGATAGATAGATAGAGAGCGAGTGATAGATAGAGAATTTTAAAAGCTAGACTAGCAATTACTCACCAAAAAGAAAAAACAATTTCCTGTTTTGTGCTGTCAGTAAAATGTAAAATTTTACAGAATGCCCGCAAGTGATTCTCTTTAAGTGCTGCAAAAGGATTATTTTCTACAAAGTCGAAAAAAAAAATTTTTAATGCTGATAGGAAAAGATCATCTTATTAGGTGCTTTGTAATGTAGGGGGAACTCCAGTCAATAAGCAGTGTGAGGTGGAAGGAAAGAACCCCCAGAGGGAGATGAGACTTGTACGCCACACCAGCTGCACTACCAACTATGTGGCCTTCAGTGACCACCTCACAGGAATCCTTCAGTTACCCACCTGGAGGGCTACTTAAATACCAAACAGAATAGCTTATGTGTGAAATGCTTTGCAACTATAAACGATTATTCACCTGCATTATAATTATGTTTCTACAAATTGTGCTTGTCAGTTCACATCCCAAAAGGACCTAAACATTAGACACCATTTTACAAATTATAAAAGGTCATTATGAAGTTCTGAAATACACTCTGGCTGAAGAAAATACAGAGCACTTTAGGAAAAAAAATAACACATCATCCACGTCTTCAATTCTACATCCTAAATAAACAGTTTAATCCCATCACATAACACAGCAAAGCCTGTTATCCGATAAAAGGAGAGTACTAAACCCTCAATTTAAGGACCAGTTACAACTGATTAAAGTAAGGATACTTATAATTTAGTGTGTAAGAATGTATGCTGAAATATAATTAGTGCCTATGAATTAAAGCAGGATGGATTAGGCTAATTCCTGGAATGCTATTAGAGAGAAGACCCTAGGTTTAAAAAAAAAAGAAAGAAAGAAAGAAAGAAAAGAAGAAGAAAAAAGAATGATCTTTGTGTTTGCACAGCAGCTAAGCCGCTTAATGTCCCTCTAATGGATCTGAATGGGAAGAAAGGGGAGAAGGGGAGTGGAGCCCTCTCCATGGCGTCAGCCCACGCTACGCCTGCCTGGCACTGCAGCCCTGGAAACCTGGGTACAAGGCAGAAGGGGCTGAGTTGCATGCCCTCCGCTCACTTCCCAGCTTAATTTATATGGTAATTAGAGCTCTGCTGCCAGAAGGGAGAGCATCTGCCAAAAGTAAAGTCCTCACAATAACAAAACTGACATTAGCTGTGATGCCGCCAAAGTGCTGACTAAGAAATTTCTTTTATCTCCTTTTGAAGCCATAAAGTGCATTCATGTTATTACTAGTCGGGAATTTTTAACAGTCTTGCACTGACAGCAATTATTTAACACATGCACAAAACAATAGAGTTTCACACCACGTAATCAACCTTTGAGCTCCGTGACTTCCAATGCTCTCACTGGCTGGATTTTATGGTCTGGTAGCTCCTGAACAGCCAAGTATATAAGCCACAAAAACAGTATAAAAATGATTTGAAGCAACCACTTCTTGTGCCCTTGCAGATTTATTTAATGACTGAGGCACACTCCATGATCATGGGCCAATTAAAAGATTTGTCTGCCCACCTTATTCGCTGTGTTTGACTGCTACAATAAGTCTCTGCGAAGGAATCAAGCTGAACGCATGGTTGTTGACCTGTCCCTATATCCAATTTTTCCAAAACATCAGCCAGAATAAGATTTAAGTATTTTAGCAATCTATTTAAGGTGGACTATATTACTACCTTTCTCAGTAAAAGAATTCATTCAAATATTGTATTTGAATATCAACTCTGCTAAGGCCCAAAATAGAATACTATATACAAAGGAGAAGAAAATCAAGAAAACTGCTTTCAGGTATCATCTAACTGAGGAGTTGTAATCAAATAATAGTGATAGAGGCTGTGTGTGTTTAAAGAACTCTCCTGGAAGTCAGATGTGGGTTATGGACAAGTCACCAAAGCCCTATGTCTGGTGTCCTTATCTGTAACAATAGAGGTAGTGATAGCTATGCCACCTGCCTCTAAGGTTTTCATGAAGATGAAACAAAAACTGAAGGAACATAGAAGAATAGATTTTAAATATTCTCATCACAAAAAAAAATGATAAGAAGGTGAAGTGATGGATATATATTTATCAGCTTGATTTAATCTTTCTACAATATATATACATATCAAAAGACCACACTGTACCCTATAAATATATTCAACTATTATTTGTCAAATAAATTTAAAAACTGCAGTAACAAGCACTTTGCAAACTATGATGCACTATATAAATAAAGGAATAATTATTCTCTGCAAATGATACCAAGAGATTTATTTTTTTTTTTTGGCCACTCTAATTCAAGGATTTTAGTATGTAACCATCATAGCCATGGAGACCTTGAAATCTAATTGCATTTACTAATTTACTATGAGTTATCACTAGGAATTCCCTAACTCAGTATCAAGAATATAGAAATCAGAATATCAAAGTTTTAAGAATTATGAAATTTGTCTAAAGGGAACATATGGTTTAAAATAGATGGCTAAAACCAGCAAGCATTATAAAACAAAGTCAACTTTTAAAAGACTCAAATTATATACACAAAATCCTCAGTCACTATGTAAGTTCATGACTTTATACATATTTACGTGCAAAGTTTGAATTATATTATGACTCATTTTTGGCCGGTCATGGTGGCTCACACCTGTAATCCCAGCACTTTGGGAGGCGAAGGCAGGTGGATCACTTGAGGTAAGGAGTTTGAGACCAGCCTGGCCAACATGGGGAACGCCGTCTCTACTAAAAATACAAAAATCAGCTGGGTATGGTGGTGGGTGCCTCTAATCCCAGCTACTCAGGAGGCCGAGGCAGGAAAATCGCTTAAACCTGGGAGGTGGAGGTTGCAGTGAGCCGAGATCACGCCACTACACTCCAGCCAGTGAGACTCCGTCTCAAAAAAAATAAACAAACAAATAAAATAAAAAATAAAAAAAAGATATATATATATAAAGACTCATTTTTAAAGGCATTTTTAGTCAACTAGTTTTGAGTATTAAAAACATACTTAATGTAAGTCAGGTACAATATAGAAAGGTCATAATCAATCACATAATCTCTTTCTTAGCCCATTTATCTGCCCATACATCTGTAACAGAGATGTGCTGTCAGTAGGGTTTACATTTTCCCAGCAAACGGAATCATAGAACAATAGGGTTTTAGAGCTCTGTCTTGCTTTTATGTAGGTTGTACTTCCCTAACATTTGCATATGCCAGCATTTCACCTATTTTCTTAAACTGCATGCAATAGGCATGCCATGCCCACCATTTTGAAAAGGTACTAGCTGCCTACCTGGGATTAGTCCTTGACCTCTACATCAAAATACACTTCTGGTCATTGCCTTTGGTGTTTAATTGCCTTTGGTGTTCTCTGTCAGCCTCCCCTCCATGGCTGCCAATCCCCATCTGTACCCCGTGGCACCCAGTACCCAACTGTTCCTCTTCTGCTTGCCTCACTCTGCTCCTTCTCTCTAAATGATAACTCACACTCTGCCTATAAAGTTTTCTTGCCAAAGTATCACATTCTACTTTACACACTTTACCCTTCAAAGCCTTTAAATTATTGTTTATATACTCCCATGAGTTATATTTATTTGTGTCCCCTATATAATTTTAAATTCTTATGGACACAAATTTAATGTTACTATTTTTCACAGTCAAATTCAATATTACCATATTACTTTCATATGCAGAAGTATGACAATGGGTAGACTTCCCACACTATGCAAATTCCTGCTTTTTGACAGATAGTTAAATCTTAATACACTGTTAGGAGCCCACTGACTACGGGACATTGTTTGAGTTGCTAAGAAAATTTTCTGAAGGATAATCTTAGGCCATTGATGTTGATCATGTGTGTTTGCACACAACGTAGAGATAGAATAAATAAAAATTAAACCAGTGAGCTTACTACTTCTTGCTAACATTCAATTCAAATATTAAAAGTAGACTCACTCAAGAAAAAAATTACATTCCTCTATGTTTTTAATTGTCACTGCTTATCTAAACCTTAGATACTAAGAAATGAAGGTAAGAAGAGATTAGCAGCAAACTTCAAAGGTAGTAGCAGGCGCTTTCGCAAGAACATAATTAGATGGTGATTTCATTGACATTACTTACTCAAAACACACTCTAGAGATGATGCAGGGCTTATACATGAAAGTATATAAATGCTTTTGATGGATCACTTCAAGAAACAAAAAGCAGGCTGCAATACCCAGCATATATTTCTCACAAATGACTCCATATGAAAATAAGAGAGAAAAATAGCACCTTGCAAAACTTTTCAATATTGTAGAACAGTAAATAAAATTAACACTTTAGAGGTAGTAAAATCTGTAACATATGTGACAAAGAGTATATGTTTTAAATATATAAAGACAGCTTTCCAATACAAAACGAAAAGAATACCTTAATAAAATAAATAAATGAAAAAAGATACAAATGGGCAATGCACTGAAGAAGAAACACAAACTGCCAATAAACAACTGAAAACATGTCCAAATTTACTAGGAACCAAAAAAATATAAATTAAAGCAACTATATCATTTTTAAACTCTGAGATTGGCAGAAAAAGAATACTAACACTATAGGTATAGCACTCTAGAATATTCTTAGTGCAAGAATAAATTACACAACCTCTCTGGAGGACAATTTGGCAACACACAGCCAAACTCTACACATACACTCTCAGCAATTCCACTTAAGAATATATCCTAAGACAATAATTAAACAAATGCTCACTCTGTCATGGTTTATAATAACAATATTGGACATTACTAGAAATGAACAGAGAAAGGCCTCATTCAATAGACACACTCATATAGTACCATAATGTATTGTTAAGTGAAAAAGCAGGCTATAAAATGTATGTAGAATATGATCCTGGTTTGTAAAAAGACAAAAAAAGGAGGAAGGAAGGAGAGGAGAGGGAAGGAGATTGAAGAAGAGAGGAAAGGAGGAGGGGGAAGGGGTGTCTGTGTGTGTGTGTGTGTGTGTGTGTGTGTGTGTGTGTGTGTGTGTGTGTGTGTGTGTTGGGATGGGGGAAGGTAAGCATTTGGGGTATGTGTGAATAGGGAAAACCTCAGACAGGATCATGACCAAGTGTTAACTATGCTTGTATGCATAATTTTTCTTTTCTTCTTTATATTTTTCTAGAATGCCTGAATGCCCCCAAAAGCTATTTTCACTACGAAAATAAATTTAAACTGTAATCACATTTGCATAGCCACTTTATAATTAAAGAGAAATCTTTTAACAAATTCTCCATCATTATCTTCAGAGGCAGTCAGTGATTATTTCTAGTTGGGTACAAGAGAACCTTTCACATTCACAAAGTGTGTTTCTAGATATACCAAACAAAAACAAAAACAAAAAAACCTAAAACTTGCTGTGTGTCCACAGAGACTCTTTAAAAATATTCTCTAGTACTTCCCAGTGGGAAGCGCCTCAGTGGAGGCAGGGCCTGAAACCTCATTCCATGTATTAGATACTGGTTGGCCAATAAGAATGTGAAGAGTTAAATACCCTTCCAGAATACTTAATGTATGGAATGAACTGGGATAAATAATAATTACATTAGCAAATACTGCCCAAAGAAAGATTTCTGAGATATTCTAACTTCAGGAATCAAATACAAACTGAGTCGACATCAAGCTCAGCAGCATATAAGAATGAAGTAAGACACTCTGCCCTGTGCTTCCCAAATTCGTCTTCGCTCGTCACTCCCAAGTTAAGAAAAGCCTATAACAGAAAAATAATAAAACAAGAAAGTTTCCATCATTTTAGATAGACATTGTGAATAATTCTACAAAGACACACTTCTCCTACTTCTCAATATGTCCAAGATGTGAAATTGAGCGTATTCTTTCTTTTCCAAGATTACACATATGGTTTCAATAAATCTTTTATTTCAATTTTCATTTCTTGGCCATCATTTTTTAGATCAAATCTAACAACCCATGTCAGACTCACTTTAAAAACACACAGCTAGACACTTCTATGGGACCTCTCTCTTCACTATTTTTAGACTCTCCTAGAATCTTACTAATGCCTGTTTCTTCTATACCCCTAGAAAATTAGAATGTTGGGGAAATGTTTACTTTAAAAAAAAAAATAAACCAATGTATCTGAGTGCTACATAAATCACCTTTTTCTACTCTGAAACTGCCCTGTCAATAGTCACTAGCCACATGGGGCAATGGAGACCTTGAAAGGTGGCTGAGTCCAAATCAAGATGTGTTGAAAGTGTACAAAACACACTGGATTTCAAATATATATATATATAAAATATTAATTGTATATATATATAATATACAATTAATAATGTTTATATTAATTACATGTCACAATGATGTTTGACTATAGTGAGTTAAATATAATTTCATCTGCTTCTTTTTGCCTTTTTGATGTGACTAGCAGAAGATTTAAAATTACTTATGTGGCTGCATTGTGTTTCTGTTGGATGGTGCTGGTCTGGAATGCTAGTTCATCATGTCGAGATTCTTACTGCCATTTCTGTAACTCTGCAAATACTCAGTATTCTCTTTAAATAATAGGTCTTCATCAGTGGCATTACTCAAGAGATTTGCTCCCTCTACCACACTCGGTAAAACACCTGCCACTAGTTACTCCTTTTCCCCAAAATTAACGTCTGTGCTTACTAGAAGCTTTAGCTCTACTTTAATCTGAGCACTCTGCACTCCTCGTGATCAGTGTTTTCCCCAGCGGTGTTCTGCCCCTTTGTGCCACATACACTTGAGCAGTGGAGTGGCGTTATAGTTTGCCAATGCTGGTGGATGGCGTAACTTTCAGTTTGGGGTTCAAACTCGCTTCCCACAGGGCAAACACACTAAAGTGCCACCACAATTCCCTTGCAAAACTCATTCATTCCCTGAATTCTCCCAGTGCACCAGGAGGAATGTTAACCATTTTATACCTGCCCAAAAGTGGCCTACTGTATCAGTTAGGATTGCTTTCATAAAAGAAACCCAATGACCTGCCTGGCATAACCAAGGTTGGTTTATTTTCCAACTTAAGAAATTGGTCAGAGGTAAACAGATAAGAGGTGATGCAATAGCTTTATGATGGGACAACTGCCCTAGCCTCCTCTGTCTTTCCGACCTGCCCTTGTGGTCTCAAGATGCCTCCTGAATGTTCAGGCAGTGTATCTATGCTCCAACTAAGAAGGGAAAAGATGAAGGGCAAAAGGCACATGTCAGCGGTTTTTCTTTTTATCAGGAGACTTCTGCTTTTATCTGACTGGCCAGAACTAACTTATGTGGTCACCCTAGTTACAAGGGAGTCTGAGACAGCATTTTTAACTAGAATTTTATCAGTAAGGAAGAACGGTAAATGGATTTGCAGTTGTTAATGTGTACCATAGCTATATTTTCACAAATATTATTGCAATTTTGTTAGAGATACGAATAAATGCCTAGGGATAAGGGGATTAAAGAAAAATCCAACAAAATTCACAATCTTAATGTTGGATACAAAGTTGGGAGAATGGAAACTTTGAGAATATAATGTCTATTATGTGGATCATTTCATTTTATTGAACGTCCACTTTTTTGAATAGTTCTTACAACAACTTTCAGCATGTATCTTTGTTGATAGTAAAAGTATAATCAACCTGCCAGTAATATCTTTTCTAAAAGTTTAGTTCATATTAAATCAAATAGCTGCTTAGAAAACTTTATCCACCAGTCACAGCCTGCTATTCAACATGGCCTCACTCTACTTTTATAATTTTACTTCCTTCTATTTCCTGTCATCCAGAGTGGATGAAAGCAGACCTCCAATGTGAAAACGAGTTTCTTCCTGAGTCATCTGCAAAATTCCACACTCCTGTCACCCATCTGATCCAATACCAAATTCAGCATTCCACTCAAATTTCTGAAGCACTGTTGTTGCTAATAAGAACCACTGTCTGTTTTTCAATCACTGCCACTAGAAGATATTTTTTTAAAAGACATAGAAACATAGCTTCAGTAGTTCACAAGTATTAAGGCCTACACCATGCCAAGCTGAGAATGGGAGAGCTGCACTGCCTGAGGATGCCAGGCCCTCAGCTGGGAGCACTCACTCACTCACTACGTGATTCACTCCCAAACAAGAGCCCTGCAGAAAGCCTGATTCAAGTTCTTGGTTCAGCAAAATTCAAGTTTCTAAAATGTCATATATCTTTATGGCATTGGCAAAAAGTCAGAACTTTCTATGATTAATTCATAAATGTTACTGATCAATTCTGTTCCCTGTAATGGCCCAAGCTTTCCAAAAGCTGGCCCTTTTCCACAAAGTGTCTTCTTTCTGTAACACCCACCCCCATCTATACCAAATGAAACCCTACTCATTCCTCAAGGTTCAATTCTGATTTCACATTTTCCACAAAGCCTTTCCAAATCGCTCTGCTATAACTGTTCTCTATTTTGATCAAATATAGCACTTTATTTCTATTTCTCTCATGTCATTTATTTCTGCCTTATATTTTCGATCAGTCTCAGCCTCTCCCACTAGATCAAAAGCTTGACTCTATACTCTTAGCAGAGCATTTTATTTATTTGTTTGCATTGAATTAAATCTGGATTTGTTTTGTCTATGTGACAGACAAAAAGTAATTGTGCAACATCATTGACCACAATGTTTTTTTAAAGTCTGGTCACAAATTATGACTGTCAAAATAATAATCAGCCCATTGCTTTCCATTTTGAGCTCCAGAGAAAATTACTACAAACATATGAAGGGATGTCCTATGGCCTTGAGCACAGAGGAAAGATTGCCCACCCCAGTGTCTATACAAGGCTTTCACTACTCCACTATGCAGCCCATAGGTCCCCATATAAATTCAGCAGAAGAATCCAGTTACACAACGATTCTTGAGCATCTGCAAAGGATGAATAGATTTCCTGAACCCAAAAATTGGGACACAGAATCTTTGTGCCATTCCAGGTGAGTTCCCATTTAAAATACAGCTTTGATTGGATGCAGTGGCTCACTCATGTAATCCCAGCACTTGGGGAGGCCGAGACAGGCAGACTGCTTGAGCCCACGAGTTCAAGACCAACCTGGGCAACATAGTGAGACCTCACCTCTACAAAAAATACAAAAATTAGCTGGGCATGGTGGTGCGTGCCTGTAGTCCCAGCTATTTGGGGGGCTGAGGTGGAAGGATCACTTGAGCCCAAGGGGCAGGGGTTGCGGTGAGTCAAGATTGCACCACTGCACTCCAGCCTGGGTGACAAAGTGAGACCCTGTCTTAAAAAAAATTTTTTAATGGATCAGGGAGCACACTTATTTAGTAAACATAGCATGTATTCCAATTAATAAACTGTTCAATGTAAAAAGTTGGGGTGATAAGAATTAACATTCTAAGGAACAAAGAGCAGAAGCTAAGAAGGGCAATAAGAAGGGCAAAAAAAAAGTTGGAAAAAAATCCACCTTATTGGCAAAAAAATAATATTCTTGCACATGTAGGTTGTGTGTGATTATAATGTATCTCTTTTTCTTCCTTCTGCCCCAGGTCTCAGAGGCTAACGTGCTATTCTAGAGAAACATATAACAACTTTTCTCTGACTGGTTTGAAAAACTGATGTTGTTCTCACTAGAGGGATGGTGCAAAGCTTTAAAAAAGCTATAGAGTGATGAAGGGAAAATAGATGTAAGTGCCAGGATCCTGTTTAAAGGATCAAGGAAGGTCTAACTCCAAGAATGTCCACTTAACGTTATATTTTCATTTCTACAAATTCTATCTGGTTTCATTTCAAATCTTTGTCATATTCTCAAAGCTCATTTTATTTCTTTAAATATATTAAACAGACATATTTTACATTCTGAAATAGACCACTCCAAACTCTGCAGTCTACGTGGAACTGACTCTATAGTGTGTTTTTTCAATTAATGATTGCTCATGATAGTTTATTTCTTTATGTGTTGGGGATGGGAGGAGTCCTCTACCGTGGATTCAAGGCCCTTCAGTTTTATTTGTGGGAATTTATTAAGGTCTACGTTTAAATTATTGTGTTCTTCCAGAGAGATTTCCCTTTCCTTCTACCAGGAGCTGGGATTACTGCCAATCCAAGACCATTTTCAACTGAACATTCAACTTGGCCCTACAGGTGGTATGAACTCAAACCCAGAGCCTACCTTCATGCAGGCTTATCGTTGGTAACTCTCATGGGGGACTTCTCTTTTCCATTCCTCCCACAACCAAAGCAGAGACAGTTATATATGTCCCCACCATGCCCTCTCCAGAGCAGATTCTTCCTAGTGTTTCCACTCGGGGTTAACCATTTGGTGTGCTGACTCTATGTGGGAGCTCTGACTTGACCTTTACCCTGTCTTGGGCTCTGTTTCCTGTGCTCCCTACACATGCCTGGTTAAAACCCACACTTTAGGCCTTTAGAGGTTAACAGATACCACGGGGACCAATGCTTGTTCCAATGGTCACTTACCCCTCCTGACACATAGTGTCTTGTCATTCCTACCCTCCAAGGAATTCCCTTACATTTCTGCCAGCTCAGCCATGCTTTTAAAACTACTTTTTAAAAAATATTTTATCTAGCATGTTCAGGCTTGCTTTCCCAAGCACGGTCTCCCTTAACATCTAGTCTGCCATATAGCTAGAACTAGAACTCTCCCGTCCAGAGATTTGCACAGGGGCTGTAAACAGTCCCATGTGGCATGTTACTACCCTGGGTCAACATCCAAATAACAGGCTTCATTTCAACCTCTAAAATCAGTATAATGTTTATGTATACATTTTTCTTTTACCTCAATGCTATACTGTTTAAATATGGTGTGAGTGTGTATCACATATTATAATTTTTACAATAATTATTTTATATAATTATACTTAATTATATTCACATTTATTTATTTCTTGAAGCAAGTACCTGTACTTGTTCCATGTAATCACACCTACAGCACATGGCCTCTACCAATGAACTTTAAAAACCAATTCAGAAAGCAAAAGGTAAGTTATGTTAAAACCTAACTAGTCGTATTACCTATTTCTAGAGCCTCTGCTCAACAATAAGAATTTAAGGAAAAATAAGTAATATTATAAAACAAAGTTACTATCATAATTGTCTTTTTTTTTTTTTTTTTTAGATGGAGTTTCATTCTTGTTGCCCAGGCTGGAATGCAATGGCACGATTTCGGCTCACTGCAACCTCCCCCTCCCGGGTTCAAGCAGTTCTCCTGCCTCACCCTCCCGAATAACTGGGATTACAGGCATGCACCACCACACCCGGCTAATTTTGTATTTTTAGTAGCGATGAGGTTTTGCCATAGTGGTCAGGCTGGTCTCGAACTCCCAACCTCAGGTGATCCACCCACCTCAGCCTCCCAAAGTGCTGGGATTACAGGCGTGAGCCACCGTGCCCAGCTCATAATTGTCATTTTTAAGGTGCCTCTCAAGATATGGCACATTATTATTCAGAAACAGCACAATGCCTACACCTTCTATAACATATCATCTGCATTATCATAACACATGTGAAAAACCATAATCCAGAACCAAACATCTTTAATAATTTTTAAAATGTTTACAGTATAGGTAGAATACAAAGTATATTTATAACCTCTCTTGTTCCAAAATAAATTTGAAACTGAAACCTACTAATATATTTATAAATTGATTATAAATGATAGTTGAAACAAAGTAAGTTAATGGAAAAATATCCAACTATCCTTAACATTTTCATCTCAAACATTAGGAGAAATATCTAATCCATGCAGGGCTTAAAACCTAGATGATGGGTTGATAGGTGTAGCAAACCACCATGGCACATGTATACCTATGTAACAACCTGCACTTTCTGCACATGTATCCCAGAACTTAAAGTAAAATTTTAAAAAATAATAAATAAATAAATAAAAACATTTTCCTCTCAAAGAACTCCAGCTAATTATGTTTTAAATTTCTCATAAATTATATTGATCTATGTAGTCAATAACTTTTAAAAGGTTACTGGGTCATTTATTCATTGCAGGATAATTCATGATCATCAGCGAAATACCTATAACTGTACTACATTCTCAACTATTAAATGATAATATTCCATTGCAAGGAGTTTTGTTAAGGTTTCTGCATTAAATGATGTAGAAATATATAATTCTGAAAATTTTATGTTCTACTTGCTTGTTTCAAAATGGGCCTGTGATTAAGAGAACAAATTTTTTAACGTTTCTCTGTTAATGTACAAATCTCACTCTCCAAAGTTTACAACCAAATGTTTTGCATCATTACACACACCTGCCACCACCTACAGAAAGAACAAAAGTTGTATACTCTAAATACCAATTGTATGTGGCAGTGTTATTATTTTATCCACATTTCTAAAACCTGTTACAAGTGAAAAAAAGATTAAAATAATTTCTGCAGTTCTAAACAAAGACACCAAAGTATAACTATTTTTCCAATTCGGACCTTCATTAATGTACGAATGCCAAAGCACACTAGTTGGTCTTCCTATTTAACCACAAACATGTCAGGTCTGTTTGGAGTAGTGTTGAATGTGGAAAAGATGTATATCCGGTTGGTAACAGCTTAAAGGTTTTAGAATAAAGCCTACATTTGTGGGTGGCCACAAATCTTAGCTAAAAATTGGCTGAACTATACGGACGTGACTTAGAGAGGTTGGATTTATTGAAATGTTCACAGGCTGAGGTGTCAGAAGAGTTGGCCTTCTGATTATTTCTGAAAAATCATTTAGCTGCTCAAGACTTTGGTTTCTAATCCATGGAACTGGCCCAATGACCTCCAAGCCCCTTTAGCTGTCACATTCAAGAATTCTGAATCTATAGCATGTGTAACAATTGAAGGTAGACTTTCCACCCCATTCTCTAAGCAGAAGGAACACTCCAGTCTTCTGACTGGGGTTCATATATGCTTATATCAGGTTAAATGACAAGAGCATGTCGAAATAAGAATCAAAATGAGAGGATTTATCATCCTTTGTCAGCCACATTCTTATCCTCAATGCTCAGCAACAGGGCTTAGAGTGCTAAACATTTTGATGCAATAATGACAATGCAGTTCACCAAACAAGGCCAAGCTCAGTGGTTTCCAGGAAACTGAAAAGAGAAAGAATGTGGATAGAAATAGTAGAGACTTCAAATGATGAAGAAAATGAATGAAGTTCAAACTGAGAATCAAAAAGAGACAGAAAAAAGACCTAAAAAGTGTGGTCAATGCATTTGGAATGACTAGAACCAGGGAAAGTTTTTCCTAACAATACTAATAAAACATCTTTGAGAGTATTTTATCATTAGTGGGATCAATGGGATAAGGTCAGATTGATTATTTTTTATTTAAAATGCAAAAACTAAAATGGAATTCTTTTGATTTGTGAAAGATAGGATCATTATGCAACTTCATCAAAGGTATTTTTACCTAACCCTAGAAGTCAAAAATGTTCTTTATTTTTTAAAAAAAACAAAAAATCTTTATTGTCACAGTGGAACACTCACACCTCTGAAAAATGAGACAAATCATGAATTATTGTTACTATTCATTTAAATTACTCAAAAAGTCCATCATTATGTTAATGGATTAAAATATCTTTAAATAAGAGAATGATATAATAAAATTGCCTTAATTATGGCTCCCCTTTCTTTAGGAATAAAGGCAATTTAATAGAAAGTAGAAAATTATCTAATAAAGGTAAGTTACAGCACATATTCTATTTCCCTTCAGATGGTTGTTAGTATATATGCGCCAATATACGAATATATATATATAACATAGTTGATAAAAATCTATCTTAAATGTTTATTTTTATGTTTCGTATCATATATTTTCAATTAAAAGTCATATATTAATCAGGTGCAGTGGCTCACACCTGTAATCCCAGCACTTTGGGAGGCCAAGGCAAGCAGATCACTTGAGGTCAGGAGTTCGAGACCAGCCTGGCCAACATGGCAAAACCCCATCTCTACTAAAAATACAAAACTTAGCCGGGTGTGCTGGTGCATGCCTGTAGTCCCAGCTACTCAGGAGGCTAAGGAAGGAGAATTGCTTGAACCTGGGAGGCAGAGGTTGCAGTGAGCTGAGATCATGCCATTGCACTCCAGCCTAGGCAACAGAGTGAGACTCGGTCTCAAAAAAAAAAAAAAAAAAAATCTTCTAAAAGTCTTCTATTGACAAAGTCCACGTACTTGTCATTTTTATCATCCTACCATAGAATTAAATGGGTTAATATTATATAAGTTGCTTTGACATTCCCTTCTTTGAGAACATTTATTTCCTGGGTTTTTTGTTTGGTTGGTTGTTTGGTTTCCTCGGGCATTATTACTTTGAAAATATTCCTAAAAGTAGAATTATACAGGTCAAAAATATGAATCATATTATAGCTGTTGTTACATTTATTGACCAATTGTTTTCCAGGAGAAAAAATAACCCATTCAAACAGCTACCAATAATGTCCAAATATCGCTGTCCCAATCTTTACACCACTCTTACTGACACATAATGATATCACATTTGTCATTCTTTTGGCTGGCCTAACGGGTGTATATAGTTCCTACAGGTTGTCTGAATATGAATTTTAATTGCTGATAAGGCTGAATATTATTCCTTGTGATGACTCACTCTATTTTTCTAAATATATAAAAACCACTTACTGAGATACAATAAGCAATGATCTCTTGTACATGTAGATGCTTTCCATATTTTTAAACATTAATTTATTTCTGTTTATAGACACAACATATGTATATTACAGACAGTCTGAGATATAAACAAAAGCACAAGAATAATATAAAAATCACCCATAATCCCAACACACTTTTCCCTTTAAATACTGTGTGTTACAAAAAGTTAATTTCCTTTCTCCGCCTCCCCATCCATCCCGATCCCCGCTAAAAGTAATTACTGTTAAGCATTTGGTATATGTATATTGTTCCAGGACTTTCCTATGTTTCTTTCTATAAAAATAGAATCACACTGATCATTGTCTTCTGCAACAGGCTCTTTTTCCTTAATACTCTATCACAGACATCTTTTCAAGATACATAGACCTATCTCATTCTTTTGATAGGCAGATGGTATTCTAATCTGTGTACAGTAAGTTATGAAACTGGGTCAAAGCAAGGCAAAAGGGTCCCAGCTGATATCTGAGGTATATACATTACAATTTTTCAGTTACGGTCTCATAGGTAACTGCCACCAGTTCCCCTGCCCCCATAGGTATCTGCCACCAGTTCCTCTGCCCCCTTGATCTTTCACTGCAATCACCCAACCTCTCCTCACCCTTGCCTCAACTCATCAACCCTCATCTCCAGCTTTGGTGGACTGCTGAGGGCTGTCAGAGAAACCTTTCAGCCTTCCTGACTGGCTCCATTTCGCAGCAGGGTTTCCAACCTCCCCTGGGCTACCTGATTGTTTACCATTGCTTTTTTCTCATCTTCACTAGCTCTATTCCAGTCCCTTCCTACCCTTCTTCAATCCCCACTCTACCCTCCCACTCTGACCATACGGAGAGGTCGCTAATTTACAGAGTAAGTAGAGAACATTCAAACATGGCCTCACCCACCTTCTCTTCATCTCTCATCCTGCCTTTCTTGGCCCACCCTTCCTTTCTTTCACCCCAAGTCAGGAAAAGGGTACCTTGGTTCTTCTCCAAGGCTTACCCCTCCATCTTCAATGTTGCCCTCCATACGATGTCCTTCCCCCCTTATCCTGGAAACAAGCTTATGTAAATGCCATATTAATTATGTTAATAATAAAAATGTATATAGCACTTAAAATGTCCAGACCCTCTTCTAAGTACCTTATATATACTAATTTAAACTTCATAACAGCCCTATGAGGTGAGTGTTACAGTAATTGTAATTATCTCCATTCTACAGATTAGTGAATTGAAGCACATTGGGCTCAGGGGACCTGCCAAGGTCACACAGCTACTAAGTGAGATTCAAACCCCAAGCAGTCTGGCCCTTAACCACCAAGCCCCCTATATAAAGCTTATATAATAGGACCAGGGAAATGATTTAGAGCAGAGTGGAGTTAGAAGACTGGATGGGCAGAGAAGCCTGTAGAGCGCCCCAACCAACAGAAAACTACTCTCTTGTTTGTCTGGTTTGAAGTACCAGAGACAAACATCACTGGTATGGGAAATGATGGAGAGACTGTCTGTGGGGGCTGTCTTATGGTGCCTATTCTATGAAAGCGGATACTCCCATTATCTCTTCATTCTAACATCTCAGATTGTCTCCATACAAGTAGTTAACCTGGTGGAAAAACTCTTATCCATGGCTAAAGCCACTACACCTAATACCATGGGAACCAACTAGGCAAGCTGCAGGTGGCTCAGCACAAACTCCCTGACATGTGAAAAGAGCTCAAAGCACAGCTCCTCCACCTACTCACCATCTACAGGCTGCCTGCTTATGCCTGAGACACTCACCTAAACCATCCAGGCACCCCATGATACTTCAACACTCTCTCTACCCAGCCAGTGTCACTCCAGTCTACTTTGAATACTTAGTCCCAGACAGACCATTTCCAATGAGATAATTCTAACTTTCTTCCTCAATATTTACCAGAAATACGTCTCTTTTTGGCTTCCCAATCACCATGCATTTTCCTCCTCCACTATAAAGAATCAAATTAACATTTAACATGTTAGCCCTTTAAATCTCTTTGGGAAGTTACCATCTGTGATTTTTCTACCAAACCACTCCCCTTCCCTCCTACCCCAACCAACACACACAAAACACACTAGTCCCTTCTTTGCTGGGCTAAATAAATACATGTAGCCCCATTAACAATCCTTCATATGACCTGGTTTTACATCTCTTCCTCATCTTGGTCACTCTAATATCTAAATATGATCCATTTTGCTTACTTCTCTCTTAATGTGTCCCAGAGCAGCTGTATGACACTGTTGACTCACACTAAGGAAATCCTACAGATGTGCTTCACACATGCTACTTCCAGCACCCAAGGCTCATCCTTCCTCCACTCTCAGAGCTGCTTTTCAAGGCCCCTATATGCCTACTGAGTTTCATATTAAATGTGTGAGCTTCAACCTCATTCCATTGTGTCTACTTCCCCTAGCTCCTAATAGCTAAATCCACTGATGCCAACACTACCACCTCCTACAGACTAAATCAAATCCCACTTCCTCAACCAGTCTTGACCAAGACAAATGTGTATCAGCAGCCTCAGCCTAACCCTGAAACACAGAATTAAGCTACTTTTCCAGCATTTACTGACAAATCAATCCTAGATGCAGGCGTTTCCAGTAACCCCCAGGGTTCCTATACTGCCCCTTAGCTCACTCTTTCTTCTCCCATCGCTAAAACAGGATATGGGTTTGATCCCTAGATCACCAATTCAGTGGCCACAGATTACCTCTTCCACCAGTAATCCTGAAAGGATGTTCCATTGCAGGAGGCAGAATAAGGCAAAACTGCAAAGTTGGCCATTTCCTATCATTCAGAAACCACATTCTCTGGTTGGAGGGCAGTAGACTAATTTTGTATATAGAAAAGACAATCTCGCATTCTCCTAAAAAGTGTTACTAAACTTTCAAAAGTAACTTTCAATAGAAGATTTAATCCAATTAATAACAAATATTTAGGAAACACAAACTAGTTTTAGATACTATATATTACAAATAACATCACTTCTTATCAAAAATAAGTGTGCCAAGAATCTCTGGCAAAAGAACAGAGGTCATCTTGCACTACTCTCTTGATTTTAAAGCAATGAAATGAAGTCTCTCAGACAGTGGTCCCCAACCCTTTAGGCAATAGGGGGAGGGGTGGGGGAGGGGTATGGTTTTTGGATGAAACTGTCCCACCTTAGGTCATCAGGCATTAGATTTTCACAAGGAGCATGCAAACTAGACCTCTGGCATGTGCAGTTCACAACAGGACTCGCGCTCCTATGAGAATCTAATGCCACTGATCTGACAGGAGGCAGAGCTCAGGTAAAGCAAGAGATGGGGAGTAGCTGTAAATACAAACGAAGCCACCCTCACCTGCTGCTCACCACCTGCTGAGCGGCCCAGTACCTGGTCCTTGGCCCAGGCGTGGGGGACCCCTGCTCTAAGAAACTATGTAATTTATTCAAGGTCACAGAGCAGGCTATTAACAAAACTGAAACAAGGACTCAGGTCTCCAGATTCCCGGCTGAAATAATATCTAGTCATCTATGAGGTACAGTGCGTTTTCAGAGTTTGAAACACACAGTATCTTCCCCTCAACAGGTCACGTGGTACACAACATGAATCCACAATTATGAAATCAGTTATGAATCTACAGTTATGAAACACTAAGCAATGAAAACATACAACAGGGCCAGGCATGGTGGCTCAAGCCTGTAATCCCAGCACTCCAGGAGGCCAAGGTGGACAGATTGCTTGAGCCCAGGAGTTAGAGACAAGCCTGGGAAACAAGGCAAACCCCCGTCTCTCCTAAATATAAAAAAATTAGCTGGTCATGGTGGCACACACCTGTAGTCCTAACTACTCAGGAGGCTGAGGTGGGAGGACTACCTGCACTCCAACTTGGGCGACAGAAGTGATACTCTGTCTCAGAAAAAAAAAAAAAAAAAAAACATAAAACAGTACAGATCAACATTCATGGGCCTTTATCATGCAGACAACAGCCTCTGAAAGTGTTGACTATAAAACACAAAACTATGAAAATTAAATTTGTATAGGGGAACCCAAACATTTTGCTCATGATTACTGATTATAACAAGTTTATCACACTTTAATTCACAAAAAAAGACATTAATCATGAAAAGGAAATCAAGTCTCAGAAAGGCAGTAATAGCATAGTTATTAAATGTTAACCATTTGAATCCTACCTCCTCCACTTACTAGCTGTATAACCTCAAGGAATTAGTCAACCTCTCTTTCGCTCCATTTCTTCATCTATAAAATGAGGACTGTGGTATTTATCTCATGGAGCAGTTGCAATGATTAAATACTTTAGTATCTGTAAAATACTTGGGACAGTGCCTGGCTCATAGTTGGTATTCAATAATTGCTCTTATCTACTCATGTATTATTCTTTTCCACTTGGATAACAACCAACTCTTGACATTTGTCATATCCCTTTAAGTGTAGCCAAATTCCATAAGGCACTGGAATGACATACGATTTCTTAAAGGACCCTGGTTTTGAGCCAAAAATTAAATAATGGTAGAGATGTGGTAGAAAGTAACAGCTACATGTTCAAGGTATGTGATAAATGGCCAATGTGTTAGTCTGTCTGGGCAACAAAATAATGGTATTTTGGGTGGTTTATAAACAACACAAATTTATTTCTCACAGTTCTAGAAGCTGGGAAGTCCAAGATCGAAGAGCTGGCAGGTTTGGTGCCTAGTAAGGGCCCATTTCCTTCTTGATAGGGATGACTTCTCACTACGTCCTCACATGGTAAAAGGGGCAAATGAGTCCCCTGGGGCCTCTTTTATAAAGTCACTAATTTCACTCACGAGGGCTTCACTGACATGACCTAATCACTTGCCCAAATTCCCCACCTCCTAATCCCATCACCTTGGGGACTAGGGTTTCAACAGGGATTCTGAGGGGTCACAAACATCCAAACCACAGCAGTCAGAAATCAGGAGAATGGATCATGGGGAGTGACAGGCTTAGCCCGCCTTGGATTGGCAGATATGGAGTGAGAGGAAGTACCAACAGTTTTCAAAACCAATCAAACCAAAACATTTCATTTATCACATCGAATTCACAATGTACTATCGTTACCACTACAATGACTGGCCAAGAGCCTCCTTACACTTCCCTACCATTCCTACTTCTTTTTTTTTTTTTTTTTTTTTTTTGAGACGGAGTCTCATTCTGTCACCCAGGCTGGAGTGTGCAGTGGCGCAATCTCGGCTCACTGCAATCTCTGCCTCCTGGGTTCAAGCAGTTCTCCTGCCTCAGCCTCCCAAGTAGCTGGGACTACGGGCGCACACTGCCAAGCCCGGCTAATTTTTTTTGTATTTTAGTGGATACGGGGTTTCACCTTGTTACCCAGGCTAGTCACGAACTCCTGAGCTCAGGCAATCTGCCCGCCTCGGCCTCCCAAAGTGCTAGGATTACAGGCGTGAGCCACCGCACCCAGCCCATTCCTACTTCTTCTACTTCATCCCATCAACAGAATCAGAGAAATCTCTCTGAAAATGGAAATAGAGGTCTCCCTGAAATATAATGCCCATGAGATTTCTCATGCAAAGCAAATAAAAATGAGCTATAAAAAAAGCACGATGTATTCATTCCCTTTAGATCTGCTGCCTAACTCTCATTAGGGGGCCTGAGCTCCTGTAGGCTCTGTGTCAGTGCTGCTGCAGTGGGCCTGCAGGCAGTGAGGGCAGTTCAGCTGGGCTTGATTACAAGGTGTGAAGATGGGATTGTGGCACACTCTCAGGGGCTCTGAAGGGCATCACATTTTAAAATCACTCACCTGATGTTTACTCCATGGTGCAGCATATTAAGTGGAATAATGAGAGAAGGGAGTGACTGGAAACAAGAAATCCTACAAAAACCAGGTTATAAGTGGCTAAGGCATGAGGTGACAACACTGAGAGAAGGGTGATAAAAGTAGGGACCAAAAAAAAAGATTTTGAGTCTTAAGAAACTCAGGAAGAATATGGCAACAAACTAGTCACATTGGTTAAAACTCAAAGAAGCTTGAAGATCACCCAAGATGACAGAATTTAGTAGGAGACCAAAAGGGGTTACTGCAGGTAATTACCGCAAGACCACAATCACAAGCTCAGCCTTGACATGTTTAATTTTAGGTAAAATCCAGGTATCCAGCTGAAAACATTCTATGGGTAGTGGGAAAATCATAGTATGACAGAGCAATTCTAAGAGGTTCAGAGCATCAACCAGCTCACAACTTAGTTGCTTTAAGAGTTTTCACTCATCAGGAATGACATGTCTTTATGTTGAGCAAGAAAAACATGAAGTAGGCCAAGAAAGATTTGGAATGCATTAAAATTAACTAGTTACTAATAATATATTAGTAATTACAAACAAAAAGAGAATTTAAGCTATAAGTTCAAAACATAGGGAAGATTTTAGGGAGAACTACCAAATTTTTCCACGAAAAACAAATATTTGTGTCACTGTCAGAATATTAGGATTATGGATTATTATTCTGACTTCACATAGTATCTTACACACTATCTGAAGTCAGAATATGTTTTATATGTTATTTAATGTTTTATATTATATAAATTGCTTAAATTAAGAATAATATCAAAGTCCTACGAATTATATTTTTAGCTTTTATTCACATTGTTACTGACAAATTCACATGGCTGATTTAACACATGAGAACAGTCATAAAACAGTCAAAAGAGACTGAAACCTTTTTTGGTACAAGTGTTGGTTACAATTAAACTTTAAATAAGAGAGATGGACGGGTGCGGTGGCCCACACCTGTAATCCTAGCACTTTGGCAGGCTGAGGTGGGCAGGTCACTTGAGCCCAGAAGTTCGAGACCAGCCTGGGCAACATAGTGAGAACCTGCCTCTATTTTTTTCTTAAAAAAAATTAATTAAAACAAAAAGACTTACCACATTTTCCTTCATCATTTTCAGCTTTTCATCAATCTCTCTCAGCCGATTATGCAGATCGCGTTGCTCTTTGGTGTTCCTAAGTATCTTTTCTCCTGGAGTTACTTCCATATTTCTTTCACCATCACGGTCAGGTTTCTAATTTAAAGAAAAAAAAAAAACATCATTCACAGGCTGGAAATGTGCTGTCACATACCACCTCAAAGCAACTGAGCCTTGAGGGTTAGCTTTGCTTCTCAAACAATTATTTCTTCCCTTCAAAACAATATGTATAACGCTTTAAAGTCTTCCCATTTTAGGAGGTAAATGTCCAACTGTACATATAACAAGTAGGAAAGGAACCCAACTTCTGTAATCATTTGGGAAGCAGAAGGAGACAGTGAAAACAGCTGGAGCCAGGAAACAGGAACCTGGGTTCTGGTCCCTGCTCTGATACTTACCAGCTTGAGACCTTGGACTTTTCTTTGGACTTCAAGTTTATCATGTATAAATAAGAAGGAAAAAACCCTGCCCATCCATATTATTAGAAGCAGCTGTGTAATAATGGGAAGAAAACTGGATTTGGCAAGGTCAGGAGTTTTGAATCTTTGCCCTGCCTGGTTCCTGACTAGACTGACCTGAGGGAAATGAATTAACCTCTCTGAGCTTCAGTTTCATCATCTGTAAAACAGTAACAGTAATAATAGATCTAGGCTAAAAGTCATCACAGTATGTAGTAGGCAAGCAACAAATCTTAATGCCAAACAAATGCGAGCTGAATATGTCCTTTGAAAAGACTAAGTATTACATAATGAAAGTACTTCATTATTGTCTGCAATATTTATATTGACAGAACCATATTTTCCCAAAGTTAATGTTATTTCTGGGTGATAAAAATGGGCATTTCTTGATAGGAATTTGGTCCTGTATCTAAGATTAAACTTCCTTTCTCACATACATCTGCTCTGTGTTGCCATATAAGTGATGGGCAGTAATGACATTTTTGAAATCACTCAAGCCATAATCCTGCTACTCCCTCATTCCTTACATAGAGATGGTCACCAGGAATACTATCTAGTTGCCAATCCCTAATACCTCTCTAATCAAGGCACTTGTTTCTTTCTCACCGTCTTAGTTAAGATATCCTCATCATTCACCAGCAGTTTTTAAACTCCAGTGAGCTTCAGAATCACCTCCAGAGCCCAGGAAAAAATCCGAAGGACCAGCCTCTACCCAGGAGGTTCTGATTCAAAAGGGAAGGACAGGACAGGCCTGGTGGCTCATACCTGTAACCCCAACACTCCAGGAGGTCAAGTCAGGAGGATCCCTTGAGCCCAGAAGTTAGAGACCAGCCTGGGCAACACAGTGAGACCCCATATCTACAAAATAAAAAATAAAAAAATAATTAGCCAGACACGGTAACACCTACAGTCTCAGCCACTTGGGAGGCTGAGGTGGGAGGATCACTTGAACCTGGGAGGTCGAGGCTGCAGTGAGCTGTGATCGCACCACTGCACTGCAGACTGGGCAACAGAATGAGACTCTGTCTCAAAAAAAAAAAAAAAAAAAAGGACTAAGGACTAATAAACTGAAGCACACCTACTTGAGAATTCAAGAACTACTGACTTAGGTTGCTGCCAGAGCCTCCTGGCTGGTCTTGATGCTACCAGTCACCCTGTTGATTCCATTCTTTGCAGGGAAGACACAGAACAAGGTGCAAAGTATTCATGCTTTAGGCCCTGCCAATCTCTTCATCTCATTTCCCACTGCTTGAGACTCAGACTCAAATGTGCAGCAATATTCACTACTACCAGTTCCCCCAATTCCAACCCTCCAACTCCTGAGACTCCTACCCATTTTGGGCCCAGTTCAAGCATATTTCCATAATATTCCCTGACATACCCACAAAGGACAAATTATTCTCTCAGCCACGCCACATGCTCCTTTATTGCACTTACCACACTGTCACCACCTAGACAGTGACATGGCTGACCCTATTCTCTGCATCCCAATGCAAACTATAATCCTGAAGCTGTGTAAGCACTGGCCAATAGACTGTAATTTGGGTTTTCGAAACTTTCATCAAACTAGCAATGAATTTCAGTAAAATTCTTATTGTATACAGTTCTACCAAGCAAATTATTAAGAGTGCGTCAATTTCAAGAAGTGATTATTTTATATTTGGCTTCATTTCTCACTTCTGGTAGCTTTCAATCTCTAGAAGCATCCTGATATCGTTTGGATCTCTGTCCCTACCAAATCTCATGTCGAATTGTAACCCCCAGTGTTGGAGGTGGCGCCTGGTGGGAGGTGATTGGGTCATGGGGGTGGAGTTCTCATGAATGGGTTAGCACCATCCCTCAGTACTGCTCTCATGATTGTGAGTGAATGAGTTACCATGAGGTCTGGTTGTTTACAAGTGTGTAGCACCTCCCTCTTCTCTCTCTCTTCCTCTTGCTCTGGCCATGTAAGAAGTGCCTGCTTCCCCTTCACCTTCTGCCATGATTGTAAGTTTCCTGAGGCCTCCCCAAAAGCAGAAGCTGCTGTGCCTCCTGTACAGCCTGCAGAACCGCGAGCCAATTAAACCTCTTTTCTTTATAAATTACCCATTCTCAGGTATTTCTTTATAGCAGTGAAAGAACAGACTAATACACATCTAGAGGCTGAATTATTATCAGAAATATTTTTTAAAGGAAATCTAATGTTAGGGGGAAGTTTGGAAAAAATGGTATCAAGGTCTCTTTGCAATGCTAAGCAGTCAGCATTTTATAAACTTTCATGAAGATACACCAGCTATGAAGTAGGACACATGGTAATCTGCAAAACACCCCGGATTTCATTTTTAAATTGAAATTATTTTAATAATCTACAACTATGATTTTTTCTAAATCTTGGGGCAAGCAAAGAGAAGGCACAGAAAGAAAAAAATTATAAGTTGCACTTAACAACATTTTTAAATGTTGCTTAATCAAAACCACCACTGTGAAAATGAACAAACCACCAACTGAGAGAAAATGATCATAACACACAAATCTGACAGAGGACTTGTATCCAGAATATGTAAGGAACTCCTACAACTCGATAATAAAAATAATCAAATAGACAATAATAATTAATCAAATGACAATCAAATTCTATAAAGACTTGCACAGATACTTCATAAAAGCTATGTGCATGACAAATAAGAACATGAAAACCTCCTCAACATCATTAGTCACTGGGGAAATGCAATTAAACCACAATGAGACACTACTACACAGCCACTAGCATGGCCCAGATGAAAAAAACTGTGAACACCAAATGTTGGAAATGTGTGAAACAACAGGGACTCTCTTACATTGTTTGCAGGACTATACAAAGGTACAACCACTTTGAAAAACAGGCCATGTCTTTTTTTTTTTTTTTTTTTTTGAGACGGAGTCTCGCTCTGTTGCCAGGCTGGAGTGCAGTGGCGCAATCCTGGCTCCCGGCAACCTCTGCCTCCCGGGTTCAAGCGATTCTCCTGCCTCAGCCTCCTGAGTAGCTGAGATTACAGGCATGCACCACCATGCCTGGCTAATTTTTGTATTTTTAGTAGAGACAGGGTTTCACCATGTTGGCCAGGATGGTCTCAATCTCTTGACCTTGTGATCCACCCACCTTGGCCTCCAAAGTGCTGGGATTACAGGTGTGAGCCACCACGCCAAAACAGGCCATTTCTTAAAAAGTTAAATGTTTGTCGATCATGTGATCCAAAAATTCAACTCCTATGAATTTATCAAAAAGAAATTAAAATATATAACTAAAGCCTTGTACACAAATGTTCATGGCAGCTAAAAACTGAAAACAGCCCAGATGTCCATCAATAGAGTATGATAAACTATGGTGAGCACCTGCCACAGCTGGGACAATCAGAGTGTTTCTCCTTGAGCTCCATCTTCTGGTTAGGTTTAGTCAAAGTGAGGGGAGAGTACAGGACAGAAGGAGAGAGAGCTTAGGGTATTTTTTCCCCTTCCCCTAATGCTTTTGCATCACAGTTTGGGCAGTGATGTATCCCTGAGATGTGCTGAGTTTTCTTAGATTCAACTGCATATTCATGCTCAAAGACTAACAGAGGACACACTTAGAGCCACTCTACTCAGAAGGTTATAAGACAGGAAACACAGCAGGCCAGTATCAGGTATCCCTTTTCAATGGGAGTGTTTGCTACAGTCCATGCCAAAACAATATAGGTATAAAGAGCAAAACAGCTATAAGCTGACTGTCTTAAAATCCTCATATCCTACAGGAGCCATTATCTCTTGAAATGGCCCCATAGGCACACCGAGTCCAAGGACCCAGCAAGAAACGTGCCCAGCCACAAGAATCACTGCAGTCAGAGATGGCCAAAATACAGCTTCTCCATCAGGTCTTTATAATTCTCCCAATCCAGGGATCATTTTAAGCATAAGCAAAGTCGCCTCCTAACATATTCAGCATGCCAACTTTTCTCAGATTGCCAAGGAAACAGAGTTAGGAAACTAATTACCGCTCAAGCGCTCACGCTGAGGGGGCTGGGGTTGGCTAACCCTTTGCCCATGTCCTCTATTATTACAACTTCAGATGGCCAGTTCTTCTCCCACAATTCCAGCTCTTGCTGAGCTCCCACACACTTTTTCTTCCCCCATCCACGGTGGCTAGTCTCTCGGTGTCCCAACATCCACTGTTAGCTCCTTTAAATCTATATAAATAGTCCCTTCATATAATTATCTTCGAAATCCAAGCTAGGTATTCCTTCTGTTTCTTGTCAAAAACTCTAACATAGATATATACATAGATAGATAGATAGATATAGATACAGATATAGATATACACACACACACATATATATACACACACACAAATATAATTATATACATATATATGTGTGTGTACATATATATGTGTGTATATATATATAGTCTGTGTGCGTATAGAGAAATAGACTGGAAGGAAATTTAACAATAATTAACTTGGCAAAAATCCTGATGATTTAATCTTATTTTTCTTATTTTTTTGTAGTTCCTGAATTTCCTACAATAAACATGTTATCAATTTCATAAGCAGACAAACCTTTTTTTTTTTTTTTGAGACACGGTCTTATTCTGCCACCCAGGCTGGAGTGCAGTGGCACAACCACATCTCACTGCAGACTCGACCTCCCAGGCTCAAGCGATCCTCCCACCTCAGCCTCTCAAGTTCAAGTGGCTGGGACTACAGGTGCACACCACCTCGCCTGGCTGATTTTTTTTGTATGAAGAAGAAATGGGTTTCACTATGTTGCCCGGGCTGATTTTGAACTCCTGGGCTCAAGGGATCCTCCCGCCTCAGCCTCTCAAAGTGCTGGGATTACAGATGTGAGCCACTGATTTTTTATTTTTAATAAACTTTTCTGCCAAAGCCATTTTTGTCCTGCTCTGACAATGTGACTCTCCATACCTAAGAGGTATACACCCGAAGGTTGGATTCTAGCTTCCAATCCAATCAGCTGTGCACTTTTGAGGAAGTCACCTCCTCTTTCTGGGTCTCAGTTACTTCTGAGAAAGTTATTTCCCCTTCTAATAGCTTATGAGTCTATAATTCTCTACAGTTAGACCCAAAGGATATATAACAGCTTTCTTCAGTCATGGCCTCCGATGGCATAACCATATAGTTCAAATATTCGAAAAATACTGTATGATGAAAGCAGAGGCCAAGAGGGGGCAAGAAAAGGTTGCCACTGATGCTGATGAAAATTGCCCAGCTGCAAAAAGCTCTGTGGTGCCAGGAAAGATTCTTTTTTCACAACAAAGTGCCAACCAGTACTATCTGTCCTCGTGATCATCAGGAAATATCTTGATTTCTCATAGTAGAAATATTTAATCAGATTATCTGACCAACATATCATTTCTGTGTTTCTGGGTCATACAGGAATGCCTTCATGGAGAATTCAATAAAAGCTCTCCTCCATATGCCACAAGAAGAGAACTGTCCCTGAGGCCAAGATCAATAGATACTTGTTGATTTGACTAATTGGTTGCCAAGAGATTCTGAGTTTATCCTTAGAAAAATTATCTGTGGTGTTGACTAGGCCAAAAGGGATCTTTGAAGCAAAATAAACTCATTTTCAAAAATCAAAAACAGCAAATTACCCGCAGCTTCGTAAGTTATCTGATATGCAAATAAGGCATGCGTTAGGATTGGGAAAATACAAACCTGCCTAAATAAAGACAGCTTGTCCTATGTTTTCGAGACAATGCTATACATTTCTGTAGGTTCCTGCTATTTCTTGTCATTAGATGGATCGTGTGTCTGGCAGTACCAAAAGCAGGGAAAAAGATACTTCAGGCAGATTGTTTTTATCACCTTGGAATAATGCCATAAAATGAAGGAAACCTTGACTACATCAGAAGCTTAACAGAGGAAAGCAAAGAAATATAAACTTCACAGTAATCTGTAAAATGGAGGTGGCAAGGGCAGTTTCCCAGATTTAACTGGAGATCTAACAGATTGGCACTGGAGGTAAAGAGCTCTGAAGTAACTTCTTGTTTGTTCCTCAAACCCAGAAATGCATGCTCCTGTGGCTTCTATGGGTTTTGGAAATGAGCAGATGGTCAATAAGATTTCTGTGCCTGTGACTAGCATACATTTAAAAAATCCTAAATTCCTGCCCTCAACCAACACACACCTAAGTACATTTGGGGTCAAGTAGAGTCCATGGCCCTTACTGGAACTATACAAATCCCTGGACCCAATAATAAAACATCTTTCAGAATTACATGTCAAACAATGGTCTGTATTTCCTCAATTTTAGCTAATATTGAGACAGGAAGACATCAAAAAAAAATTAATTGTTGCTGTCAGCAATAATAGCATGATCTTGGCAAGAAAGGAGATCAATACAAACTACAATTTTCCTCAATCAAATGTTTGCTAATTTTTTCTCAAGCTTATCAAATTGTGTACAATTGAATCAATATTTCAAGAATAAGAAAATAAATCAAATTAAGGAGGACCTTTATATTCAATTAAACTAGTTAGTTTAAGAACACAGCAATGCCTCCTGTCAAGGAGAGCCATTTCTGAGGCCCTCCCCAACCAGAAAAAAAATCTAACGGTGAACTGGAATTCTAGATTTAGTAAAGCTGACTTCATGAGAGATGAATAAAATATACTTGTATATAACAGCCAAATGGAATAGAATTTACTATTGAATCCGGTTGCTAAGGATTTAAGAAACTGAATGCTTACATAACTCCTATATCTTAGATATTTCTGGAGAGAACTGGAATCTGATACTTCTACGAATAAGAAGTATGGTAACTAAATTATAGAACATCACTCAGTTTTATGGTGGGATTTACAATACGTGGAAAGAACGAACTGATTTGTTGAGGGTTAGGAGATGGATAAAGAAAAGTATGCACAGTTAAACCACAGATCTTAAGAAAAAATTGCTTCAATTAGTTCTCTTGCTAAGACAAAATGAAAATAAAAAGCAGATGTAAAAACTGCAACCACATATTATTCACACTACAGAAAGAGCAGTAATATGCCATTCTTTCTTTTGACTGTGACCACAAGCTTTGTTTTATGCTAAGGAAATCAGATACGTAAAAGCCAAATGCTGCTTTTAAAACATTGCCATAAAGTTAAGTGCTGGGCCAGAGCATCTATATGAGAACATCACAATCAGTGAGCCCATAAGGAAAAGAAGACTTCTTATCTGCCCTTTTCACAAAGACCAACACCTCCTTCATCTCTGAGCCACATTCCTAGAGTTCCTCAAACTATTCTGACTTAACCACATTGACTCAACCACATTTATCATCTTAAATCTATATGCATACCAACTTACTACCTTATAGTTACCATACAGAGATAAGTCAGAAAGTCTATGTTTCAACTTGTTCAGAAAACTGTTTTCTTGACCAACAAAGATAAATCTTCAAAGGAATTTTTAAAATATCATGCCTTCATCAAATAACCTTTCCTTTCTCTGTGCTCCCGCAGCATACACTTTCCGTACTTTTCATCTGATCAGTGCCCATCTGGTGGTGGTTCTTGTTTCATTGCACAGTTACTCCACAACTTGTTCTATTGTTTACATCATATCCTCTGGTATCCTACAAGCTACCTTGAGGTCAGAGATCAAGCTTCATACTAGTCTGGACACTACATCAACCACTACAGTGTCTCCTATGAAATAAGCAGGCATTCAAAAATGTATTGACGATCTCTGCAAAGGCTGAACAAGTAACATAAATGCATGAAGTGGGCCTTAGGGCCTGCCATACAATATAGAGTGGTGGATACTGCAGCAAACCGGAGAATCTGTGCCCCATAGAAAGAGCAGTTGCTATTCATCTCAATTCGGTAATTGTCAAGCAAGAAGTTAGGTCTAATGCTGACATATTTTCTAATTTGAATTTTTCAAGAGAGAACTAGAAATTTGGATTTTTATAGGAATTTACCTAATTTTTAAATGTTGGCTAAAAAAAATCATTAAACCCTTTGTAAGCAAAAGCAGACCCATCTGGGAGCTTAATTTGTCCTGTAGGTCAGGGGCTCCTGACCCCCCAGGCCATGGACGGTTCTGGTAGATGGCTTGTTAGGAACCGGGCCCCAGAGCAGGAGGTGAGCGGCAGGCCCAAGTTCAACTGTATTTGCAGCTGCTCCCCATCACTCATGTTACCGCCTGAGCTCTCCCTCCTCCTGTTAGATCAGCAGCGGCATTACATTCTCACAGTAGTGTGAACCCTATCATGAACTGCACATGCAAGGGATCTAGGTTGCATATTCCTTATGAGAATCTAATACCTGGTGATCTGTCACTGTCTCCCATTACCCCCGGATGGAACCATCTAGTTGCAGGAAAACAAGCTCAGAGCTCCCACTGAGTCTACATTATGGTGAGTTGTATAATTATTTTGTTACAATATAATAATAATAGAAATAAAGTACACAATAAATGTAACATGTTTGAATCATCCCAAAACCATCCCCCTCTCTGGGCCCGTGGAAGAATTGTCTTCCACAAACCCAGTCCCTGACGCCAAAATACTTGGGGACCACTGCTGTAGGCCACCAGTTTTCAGCCTCGTGATACATAATGGTGGTTTTCTTCTGTGTCTCTGATCCCTCTGCCTCCTTCCCTAGTTCCTCTTCCTTCTCCTGCCCCTCACTTATGGAAATAGACTTTCTGGATACTCCTTGGATATGCTCTCTCTCTCTCTGCTCTAAACCACCACAGCACTTTACTTAGAGCCTTCTATGAATCTGGGCACTTTGGGAGGTTGAGGCAGGTGGATCTCTTGAGGCCAGGAGTTCAAGACCAGCCTAGGCAACACAGTGAGACCACACCTCTAAAAAAAATTAAAAAATTAGCTGGTGTGATGGCATGCACCTGTAGTCCCAGCTTCTGGGGACGGTGAGGTTGGAGGATCACTTGGGCCCAGGAGGTAAAGGCTGCAGCAAGCCATGATTGCACCACTGTACTTCCAGCCTGGGTGACAAGCGAGACCTTGTCTCTTGAAGAAAAAAAAAAAAGCTTTCTATGGCACCTGCCTGTGCTGTCTTGTCCACAGTTTTCTACGTATACTCAATACCTCCCATAAGGAAATAAGTTCTTTATATCACTTATAATAACATAATTGGCTGAGATCTGTGTCACTGTGCTAAACACTTTATGTATATTAACTCAGCTACCCATTACCTAAAGAACCTTAAAGAATATTACTATTATTTTATAAATAAGGAAAACGAGGTTTGGAGAGCTTCTAATTAGTGCCCAAGTCCACAGAACTAGTAAATGCAAAAGTCAAATTTGAAGTGAGACTGTTTTTTTTGAAACAGAGTCCCGCTCTGTCCTCCAGGCTGGAGTACAGTGGCGCGATCTTGGCTCACTGCAAGCTCTGCCTCCCGGGTTCACGCCATTCTCCTGCCTCAGCCTCCCGAGTAGCTGGGACTACAGGCGCCTGCCACCACACCTGGCTAATTTTTTGGTATTTTTAGTAGAGATGGGATTTCACCATGTTAGCCAGGATGGTCTGGATCTCCTGACCTTGTGATCTGTCTGCCTTGGCCTCCCAAAGTGCTGGGATTACAGGCGTGAGCCACCATGCCCAGCCTGAAGTGAGACTTTTTTATTCCAAAGTATTTTATTTGCCTGATTCATCTTTAAGTTCTGTAAAATTCCTTACATCCAGGAGCACTCAATATGTGTTGAATCAATTGTTCAAAAACAGAAATTTATATTCCACTCAAAAGAAATTCTTTCTTAAGGAGTATGGAGAAAAATTACTGGTGAGTTAATGGTTTGCAGAAGAGTTAAAGTGAATATGAACTATGAATGTTTGTGGATTAGCAACTGATTGGAACTCATTCATCAACTACATAGATACACAGGGTTTATTCAAGATACAGTGTATTTATACAAAAAGTAGTCCAATCCAAAAATAATATCCCTAAAATACTTTGCCATGTTAGCATTCCTGCTTTGAAAATTCAATGTGTAATGCTGGTTTTAGTTAGAAATGAAGAAATGCCAAAGGGAAATTGAACAAAAGCTCAAAAGATATTCTTTATTTTTGCATGCAAGAAGCATAAATTATTTCTTTTTAACAACTACATTACATTTTTGTTTTTACATCCAATGTGAGTCCCAAAATGTTGTTTTCCCTTTTCTTTCCAAATATATGTTATTTCACATAAAAACACGTAATCTCAGTATGTAACAAAAATGTAAGGTACTGGTTTTCCCTTTCATTATTTTTAAAATATCTTATCTGAACCATAAATGTGAACTCTGAAAATGTGATTTTGCTGATGATAAGAAAATGGGACCATATTCATACTTTTTTTTTTTTTTTTGAGACGGAGTCTCACTCTGTCGCCCAGGCTGCAGTGCATGGCACGATCTTGGCTCACTGCAAGCTCTGCCTCCCGAGTTCACGCCATTCTCCTGCCTCAGCCTCCCAAGTAGCTGGGACTACAGGCACCCGCCACCACGCCCAGCTAATTTTTTGTATTTTTTAGTAGAGACAGGGTTGCACCGTGTTAGCCAAGATGGTCTCGATCTCCTGACCTCGTGATCTACACGCCTCAGCCTCCCAAAGTGCTGGGATTACAGGCATAAGCCACTGCGCCTGGCCCATATTCATACTTTTTATTTGAAGTCCTAATAGCCAAACAAATCTCTGAATTCTCTGTCTCTTTTAAGAAGAGAAGGAAATAAAGGTCACCAGGTCATTCCCATGTTATATTTTTGCCAAAAATACATCTTTTGGATGGCTATATCAGTGCCTCGGACTTCACAGACTTCACTTCATTTGACAGCCATGAAACATTTTCTATATTTAAGACCACAGTTCAGCTCTGAGATTTCAGCTACCCTTGAAATCTAACAAGAACAACAAAAATCAACTGAAACATGAAAAGAATAGAGTATCTGTGAAACATTTTATTATCCCATCTAGGGTTCCTCCTTTTTGAAAAATAGAATTCAGTAACATAAATAAACTAGCCTAACTCATGTCAAAGTCCTGGGATACGGCCGGATGCAGTGGCTCATGCCTGTAATCCCAGCACTTTGGGAGGCAAAGGCAGGCGGATCACGAGGTCAGGAGATAGAACCCATCCTGACCAACATGGTGAAACCCCATCTCTACTAAAAATACAAAAATTAGCTGGGCATGGTGGCACATGCCTATAGTCCCAGCTACTCAGGAGGCTAAGGCAGGAGAATCACTTGAACCCAGGAGGCGGAGCTTGCAGTGAGCCGAGATCGCGCCACTGAACTCCAGCCTGGTGACAGAGCGAGATTCCGTCTCAAAATAAAATAAAATACAAAGTCCTGGGACACATTTGAGTGAAGACAAAGATTCCAATTATCTCTGTTTTCCAAGAATTCTAATCCCACTGCAGAATTTCAAATCAATAGTGAGAACAACAGCACCACTACTGCTGTTTAAAGGGTCAGAAGCAGCTGTTCCTGTCCGCCAGAAATACAACCAGTCACAAAACTGTTTCCTTGGAACACCTTCACACTGCTCCTTTCCCCTGAGGTTGCTTCAACTGGCATGAAGCTAGATCCCCAGCCTTCAAGTGACAGCTTAGAGAAAGTGCTTACTATGAATCAGAAGGATTACCTATAGGCTACTGATATTTAAATCTTTGGATGGTCCACAAAGATCATGGTCATCTACAATTGTAGAGAAAATGATTTGGTGAAAAGTTTTACAAAGCTGCTACAGGGTTATTACTCTCTTATGCAATCAGACATTTTCTCCTCAGTCTACCACCCAAACCAAACCAGATTCCATGAAGTACTAAAATATAGGGTTGAGGGAGAAATTTAATTTTCTGATATGCCATACCTTCTACCAGATTTTTTTTTTTTTTTTGACAGAGAATCTCGTTGTGTTGCCCAGGCTGGAGTGCAGCGGCACTATATCAGCTCACTGCAACCTCCACCTCCTGGGTTCAAACGATTCTCCTGTCTCAGCCTCTCGAGTAGCTGGGATTACAAGCATGCACCACCACACCCAGCTAATTTTTGTATTTTTAGTAGAGACAGGGTTTCATCATGTTGCATGTTGGCCAGGCTGGTCTTGAACTCCTGACCTCAAGTGATCCACCCACCTTGGCCTCCCAAAGTGCTGGGATTATAGGCATGAGCCACCGCACCTGCTTTGTAAAAGAGTATTTGAGGGAACTACTGAGAGAAGAAACACATTCATTTCAAAACTCTCATAGGAGAGAAGTCAACATAATGAGCTTCACTGCTTGATGTTAAATTAAAGGAGATAAAAGAATGTGGTGGAGTAAGGGACAATGGCTGTCATTGCTAATACCTAGTGCCACAGGAATAAAGAAAAATAAGGCTCTCAAAGGACTCGTGAGTGCCATATCCGCTTTCTTCCCTCCCCTCTCTCTTGATCATGATCGAGATTTAGCTTAAATCATAGAGATATAATAATATTAAAAGAAATATTTCCTCAGTGACCGCATCCCAGAAAATTACCAAATGAAAGAAAAGTGAGTAGAAAGTGGAAGTAACCAAAGGAATATACACACTGTTATGAAACTATGATCACTGGAAAAAGCAACTGGTTAACAACCAGATTGTAAAATTATGTGAACAGCTTTAGCACACATTAACTTGAACAGTCTATGGGTTCTTCAAATACCTGATTATTCCGATTTTCAAGTCTTGGAGAAAAACTGGAAATTGTAGGGGAGGCTGCAGAGAGTTCTTGGAGTTTTATATCAATTTCAGCAAGCTGCTGATGCTGGGTGACTGCAAGTTCATATCCTTTTACTGGGACCACCCAGCCAGACTGATCACCCTAAGAGGAAACAAGGGTCACCAGGTCATTCTCAGGCTATATTTTTGCCAAAATATACCTTTCAAGTGGCTATAACAGTGCCCAGGTCTTCACATACACACACAAACACACACACACACACACACAACACACACAAACAGAATTAACATTGGGTTAGTAAAAGAATAATATGAAATAGTTTCTGGTTTTGTTATCTGCCAGCCTGTATAAAGTATCCTCTAATATTTTAAGGGGGGTTTCCCCTGTGGAACAAATCTTTTAGTTTCACAGTCTGGTTCTCATGACATTCTCATTTATCTACATTCAAAAAATGTTTTGTGACATGTTAAGTAGGAAGAAATCAGGTTTACCCTGTAATGGGACATGGTATTTTCAAACTCTGTCCCTTAAAAGTAACATAGCATCTATAAAATCAGTTGCTTGGGTTTCACAAACTTAATTGATCATCTTTCATTCAACTAATGTTTGTTCCATATTATCTCATCAAACCCATTCATTACATTCATTCAAAAATAATGCCTACTGAACATATGTATTATGCTAGGCACTGGTGATTCAATATGAATATCACAAGGTTCTGCCCTCGAGGAGTTCTCAATTTCTTGGCAGCAACAATTTTAACAAGGTGTGAAGAGTGCTGGTAAGCTCTGGGCACCATGGGAACCAGAGAGGATCAACTAACCTCTGTGAGCAGGAAGGGGCTGGAGAAAACAAGACCTTAATCAAAGAAACACCATGATCAGGTCTGTATTTTAAAACTGGAACTACTGACAGCAAGAGTGGAAGCAGAAAGACCAGTTAAGAAGCAATAGCTATAATCTAGAACACAAGTGCTGAATGGCTGAACTAAGGAATGTTTTCTGGGAACACAGAACAGAATCCAGAGATACACAGGAAGTAGAATTTACAGAACCTGGAGATAATTTTATGGAAGAGTAAAGGCAGACATAAAGATCAAGGATAAAGAATAAGTTCCTCAAGACAAGGATGCCCACTCTCACCACTCCTATTCAACACAGTACTGGAAGTCCTAATCAGAGTAACCAAGAAAGAGAAAAAAAATAAAAGGCATTCAAATAGGAAGAGAAGAAGTTCAACTATCTCTGTTTGCAGACAACATGATTCTATACCTAAAAACCCCATAGTCTCTGATCAAAACCTCCTATATTTGACAAACAACTTCAGCAAAGTTTCAGGATGTAAAATCAATGTACAAAAATCAATAACATTTCTATATACCAGCAACACCCAAGCTGAGAGCCAAATCAAGAACGCAATTCCATTCACAATAGCCATAAAAAGAGCAAAATACCTAGGAATACAGCTAACCAGGGAGGTGAAAGACCTCTACAATGAGAATTAAAAAGCACTGCTCAAAGAAACCAGAGATGACACAAACAAATGGAAAAACATTCCATGCTCATGGATAGGAAGAATCAGTATTGCTAAAATGGCCATACTGCCCAAAGCAATTTACAGATTCAATGCTATTCCTATCAAACTACCAATGACATTTTTAACAAAATTAGAAAAAACTATTTAAAAAATTCATATGAAACCAGAAAAGAGCCTGGATAGCCAAGGCAATCCTAAGCAAAAAGAACAAAGCTGGAGAAATCATGTTACCTGACTTCAAACTATATTACAAGGCTACAGTCACCAAAACATCATGGTACTAGTACAAAAACAGACACATAGACCAATGGAACAGAAGAGAAAGCCCAGAAATAAAGCCACACACCTACAACCATCTGATCTTCAACAAAGTTGACAAAAACAAACAATGGGGAAAAGGACTCCTGTTCAATAAATGGTGCTGGCATAACTGGCTAGCCATGTGCAGAAGACTGAAACCAGAATTCTTCCTTACACCATATACAAAAATCAAGTAAAACCTAAATCTATAAAACCCTTAGAAGATAACCTAGGAAATACCATTGTGGACATAGTCCCTGTCAAGGATTTCATAATGAAGATGCCAAAAGCAATCGCAACAAAAACAAAAATTGACAAATGGGACCTAATTAAAGAGCTTCTGCACAGCAAGAGAAACTATCAATAGGGTAAACACAATTACAGAATGGGAGAAAATATTTGTAAACCATGCATTCAACAAAGGTCTAATATCCAGAATCTATAAGGAACTTAAACAAATTAATAAGCAAAGAGCAAAGTAGGCAAAAGACACAAACAGACAATTTTCTAAAGAAGACATACACATAGCCAACAAGCATATGAAAAAAACGCTCGACATCACTAATCATTTGAAAAATGCAAACCAAAACCACAATGAGATACCATCTCACACCAGTCAGAAAGGCCATTACTAAAAAGTCAAAAAATCACAGATACTGGCAAAGCTGCAGAGAAAAACACCTATACACTGCTGGTAGGAATGTAAATTAGTTCAGCCATTGTGGAAAGCAGTGTGGCAATTTCTCAAGGAACTTAAAACACAAGCACCATTCAACCCAGCAATCTCATTAATGGGTATATACCCAAAGGAATATAAATCATTCTACCATAAAGACATATGCATGCAGGCCAGGTGCAGTGGCTCATGCCTATAATTCTAGCACTTCAGGAGGCCAAGGCAGGTGTATGGCCTGAGCCCAGGAGTTCAATATAAGCCTGAGCAACATGACAAAACCTCACCTTTACAAAAAAATTTTAAAAATTAGCCAAATGTGGTGATATGCACCTGTAGTCCCAGATACGAAGGAGGCTGAGGTGGGAGGATCACTTGAGCCTGAGAGGTCGAAGCTGCAGTGAGCCATGACGACATCACTGCACTCCAACCTGGGTGACAGAGTAAGACCCTGTCTTAAGGAGAGAAAAAAAAAGACACATGCATGCGTATGTTCATCGCAGCACTAGTCACAAAAATCAACCTAAATGCCTTTCAATAGACTGGATAAAGAAAATTTGGGACATACACACCATGGAATACTATGCAGCCATAAAAAAGAATGAGATCACATCCTTTGCAGCAACATGGATGCAACTGAAGGCCATAATCCTAAACAAAATAACACAGGAATGAAAACTCAAATACTGCATGTTCTCACTTATAAGTGGGAGCTAAACATTGAGTACACATGGACACAAGAAGGGAACAACAGATACTGGGGCCTACTTGAGGGCAGAGGGTGGTAGGAGGGAGAGGATGGAAAAACTACCTATTGGGTACTATTCTTATTACCAGGATGATGAAATAATCTGTACACCAAAGCCCTGTGACATCCAATTTATCTACAGAACAAACCTGCATGTGTACCCCTGAACCTAAAATAAAAGTATTTATTGATTTAAAATAAACAACTTAAAAAATAATAAACTTTGTTGTGGCCTTACCAGAAAAAAAAAAAAGAACAAGTTCCTGATTTTGTGAAGTAGGTTATGGTGGTCACATTATCTAAACTAGGGATTCTATAGATGAAGTAGGTTTGGAGAGAAAGATAATGAATTGTTTGGGACCTTTTGAAACTGGCAGACATCCCCCTAGGATATCCACAGATTATGTTAGGCAGTTAAATATGTTTATGTGAAATTCAAGATAGAGGCTTGGGATTAAATAAACACACTTGACTTACCCACATATCTACAGTGGTTCAAACCCTGGGGGCTATGAGAATGGATAAGGTCATAAAGGGAAGCATTACTGCAAAAAGAGGACAGAAGAATCATGAAGAATATTTGGAATAACGTGTCAAGTAGAGGGCAAAGAAACTTATTTCATACATTTTGATTTCACGATGTTAATACCAGGAACTAAGCCCTAGGTGATAATCAGAGGCATTATAGGTAAAAACTTTATGCACAAAAACTTTTATATTTTTATCCTCTTGACCCTGGCATTCACAGTCCATTTCAGTGAAACCAAACAGTGTGTGAGTCTTGGCAGGGGAGGATCACGACAAGACACTCCTCCCCACCCTCTGATATCAGGAAGACAAACAAATGACCTAGATTCAGCTATTTGAAAGCAAACACCCCAAACCTTGAGGGACAGAAGCAAAGGTGCAGGGAAATGATTAACAGGGACAGTGATGGTGGCAGCAATGAGCATCTCGTGGAAAGCAAACGTCTGGTGGCTGCGGAGCCACAGCAGCCAGCCCCTAACCAGGCTGTTCCTAAAGCCATGTTTATGGCTGCCTGGACATCTGCCCGGTGTACAAACCTGGTTCCCCAAACTTCCCACTGAGTCTATGGACTACTCAAGACTCCCAATAAATTCATTTTCTGTTGCTTTAGCCAAAGTCCATCTTTGTTACTTGCAACCCAGAACGGTGACTGATAAAAAATTTATTGTCACACTATTTATAATAAAACGTCTAAAAATAGGGGGAAAGTGGGTAGATTGTAGTATATCAATATAAGGATTATGATATAGTCATAAATGTTTTTAAACACACTTGTAAGTTGGTATAAAGAAATTGATCCTCAGTGAGGTTCAGTTAGCTAAAGGCACACAACTCTGATAAACTGACAGAATTCCAGGTTCTGATTTAAATTCTATTGCTCTCCCTTGAAAATAAACATGGACAGCTTAAAAAAAAAGAAAGTTATGCATAATTTTTAAAATATACTATATTACCTAATTACTCACAAACTCTGGTAATTTTTCCTAAATAAAAGTGATGTCAATACCATATAGCCTAAATGATAAAAAATAAAGAATCACAAAAAAGTAAAACTATGAAATCGATGATGAAATAGTGGCTAATAAATTTTAAGTTCTGTCTGAATGGGATTATTTTCATATGACACTGAAGTTAAAAGAGTATGTCAGACGAAATTCACCAGAAATGTATATGTTTTATGCACTATGCCGTTACAGAAATAAGATATATGTAAAAGGTAGTAAATGGCATCATCATTTTTTTCTATCTGTCTAGCACCTCTATACACCCTTGCTATGTGTGGGGAACTTCTAGCTTTTAGGAAACTTACCTTCCCAAGACAGAACAGAAAATGCTTTTCACCAGCAACCTTTATAGCCAGGGTTCAGGTAGGTAACTAAGGGTCCACCACCAGACTCCCCGACTCAATACTACTAGATGTGAGTGACCTGAGATCGGATGCAAACCCATTTCACTGGTGAGGGTGGTAGTAGAGACATCTAGCTTAGCGGGTGCCATTCACTGCAAGTGTGAGTTCCCAACATAGATGAAAATATTTCTTAAATTCTAAGTAAGTATCCTAGAGCAGAAGTCCCCAACATTTTTGGCCCCAGGGACAGGTTTCCTGGAAGAAAATTATTCCATGGACTGGGGGGAATGGGGTTAGAAAGGATGGTTTCAGGATGAAACTGTTCCACCTCAGACCATCAGGCATTAGATTCTCAAAAAGAGCAGACAACCTAGATCCCTCCCATGCACAGTTCACAACAGGGTTCGTGCTTCTGTGAGAATCTAATGCTGCAGCTAATGTGACAGGAGGCACAGCTCAGGTGGTAATGCTCGCTAGCCCACCGCTCATCCCCTCCGGCTGTGCAGCCCAGTTCCTAACAGGCCATGGGCCCAACTGGTACCAGTCCCCGTCCTAGAGAGATTCAAGAGAAGATTACATCCATAAAATTATGCATGACGGTTGGGCATGGTGCCTCACGCCTGTAATCCCAGCACTCTGGGAGGCTGAGGTGGGCAGATCACCTGAGGTCAGGAGTTCGAGACCAGCCTGGCCAACATGGTGAAATCCCATCTCTACTAAAAATACAAAATTAGCCAGGGGTGGTGGCAGGCATCTGTAATCCCACCTACTTGGAAGGCTGAGGCAGGAGAATCACTTGAGCCCGGGAGGCAGGGCTTGCAGTGAGCCAAGATCGTGCCATTGCACTCCAGTGTGGGTGACAAGAGTGAAACTCCATCTCAAAAAAAAAAAAAAAAAAAAAATTATGCATGCTACTAAAAAAAACAACTAGAGAACAAGAGTTCAGGGGAATTAAAACATAATTATCATTTTAGTCATATCATTTAGTCTTCTTTAAGCTGTGCATTTATTTGTCAAAGATGAGGTTGTGGGGCACTTCATAAAGGAAAGGGCACATTTGAAAACACAGAGATTTAAAAGAACACAGAGAATTTGAGGAACAGCAAGAAGTTCGGTATGATTTGAGAATATAGTAAATAGGTTCCTTCTTCAAAGTTTTCCTAAACTTTTCCTGCGGCACTGCTTCTTCCTCTGAATTTCTATTCTAACATTTGTCACCATCCATCGGACTCTAGAATTTCTGTATGTTTACCTCCCACATCAGATAAGAGGACTTGCAGAAAGAACTCTCAGTAAATATTAGTGTAAATATTTTTTTTTGAGACGAGTCTCTCTCTGTTGCCCAGGCTGGAGTGCAGTTGGCTCACTGCAACTTCCACCTCCCATGTTCAAGCGATTCTCCTGCCTCAGCCTGCCAAGTAGCTGGGATTACAGGCATGCACCACCAAACCTGGCTAATTGTTGTATTTTTAGTAGAGATGGGGTTTCGCCATATTGGCCAGGGTTATCTCAAACTCCTAGCCCCAAGTGATCCTCCCGCCTTGGCCTCCCAAAGTGCAGAGATTACATGCGTGAGCCACCACGCTGGGCCTAAAAACAATTGCCTTTAAAAATCTCAAAAGAGAGCTACATGGCTAAGCAGCAGAACAACATGGTTGAAACCCAACTTAGAAAACTGTAGAAGGAGCTCGTATGTACAAAATGACAAAAACGATTAACATTATGAGAAAGATGTTATAAGACCTGGAAGAGAAATCCAAGAGGTCCTATAGCCACCTGTGGCAGACACTGTCTACTGACTGACATGATCCCCATTTCTACCTCTACTACAAAAAAAGAGTAAGTCATATACCTGAATCCCCCTTCTCACTTGCAGCAACATACTGAACAAATGGCTACGCGATACAGCTTGGCCGCTGAGATGCAGGTAGAAGTCCTGGGGACACCATTCCATCCCCAGTGAAAAAGCAAAGCCTCAGAGGACAGTCTCTTTGCTTTTTACCCTTCCCTCTTTCTGTCTGCTTGGAAAATGGACACACTGCCTACAGATGTAGCAGCAATCTTGCAAACCTAAAGACAAAATCCGCATAGGAATGTAGAACAGGAGGACAGAAAGACATGAGCTGCTCACTCCTGGATTTCTTGTTACTAGAAAAAAGTAAACTCTTTACTGTTTAAGCCACTGTTACTGGCAGCCAATCACATTCTCAACTGATACCTCCCAAAAGGAGAAAAAAGAGATGATGGAAAGGAAGAAATAATATAAGATAATTTTCTGAGCTGAAGGAAGATTTGAACCTTCAGGTGAAAAGAGCCTACAAGGTACCAAGCAGGAACTGAAATGTTTTTAAAGACACACACAAATATAATCTGATAAAATTGTGAACTCCAAAATAAGGAGAAAATCCTACATGCTTCAAGAAAAAAAGGATTTTGCAAGTAGAATTTAGTCATCTGCTAAGCTAACATTCAAATGAGGAAAAAATAAATATTTGAATACACAAACACTCAAAAATTATCCACACTTCACCATTTCTTGGGGCAAAATTTTTCAAAAAAGTTCCAGAAAAATAATTCAAGGAATGATTTATACAAATAAATAATTCGTTGAGTCCAAATACACAGTTAATGATGTGGCTAAAAATTTTGGCTAAATTTTGTTTAGAGAGATTCCTAACATACAAGAAGCATACTGTTTTTAAAGGTAAAAACTAAAATGTGTAGTATTCTAGAACTAAAATTCCAGATGATTTCAATATATCCTGGAGGAAAGAAAATGAAACACAAGGGAAATGAAAGTACACCAAAGATCCAATCTTGTTAAAATATGAAATTTTAGAAACTAATTATTGAAGTTGAAAAGAAAATACGCATTTTAATGTATTTTTAAAACTTGAAGGTTAACAGTACCAGATCAGAAATAGGATATTAAGTTTCCAAACCACAAGAGGATAGGGAGATAAACAAAAACAAATATGATAAATAAAATATAAAGTTTGATGTCAGGAAAAGATTCAAAAAGTATGCGGTCGTAATGAATATGAGCAAATTAAATATGCTCATATTGATAATAACAAAAGATAAAGGATGAAGAAACAATTAAAGATAAAGACACAAAAGCAACAGCAAAAGCCCAGCTACATAGTACTTGTAAAAGATCAAAAACTAAAATGATAGAGATGACCTTAAACTAGAAAGATGAGACATAAATACTAACAAAAATAATATGCAAAAGGCAGTATTATTAACAAAAAGTCATTATGAAAGCATTCCTAGAATGTATCAAGAAAATCTATCGCCATAGTTTGATACGCAGTGAGACCATGGGTAGCAGTTTACCCAATTTTACAATTAATAACAAAACCAGAATGAAACCCAGATCCCTTAATTCTTACTGGTATCTAAGCTTTTGTTAATAAAGTAGACAAATTACAGTTATGTGTCGCTTAACGACAGGAATATGTGTTCTAAGAAATGTACCATTAGGCAATTCTGTCATTGTGCAAAAATCATTGGGTGTACTTACACAAACCTAGATGGTAGAGTGTACTACACACCCAGGCCACATTGTAAAGCCTATTGCTCCTAGGCTATAAACCTGTACAGTATGTTTTGTAGTTACTGTGTTGTAGGTGATTGTTAACACAATAGGAAGTATTTGTGAATCTAAACATATTACAACATAGAAAAGGTACAATAAAATATGGTATAAAAATCTTTTTAATGGCATACCTGTAAAGGGCACTTAACCATGAGTGGAGCTTGCAGGAGTGGAAGCTGCTCTGGTGAGTCAGTGAGTGAGTGGTGAGCGACTGTGAACACCAAGGACATTACTGGCTGCTACTGTAGACTTTATAAACACTGTAAACTTAGGCTACACTAAATTTATTTTAAAATATTTTTCTTTATTTAATAATAAAGGAATTTTTACTGTAACTTTTTTACTTTTAAAACTTTTAAATTTGTTTAACTTTTTCGCTCTCTTATAATAACACTTAGCTTAAAACATAAACACAGTATAGAACTGTACAAAAATATTTTCTTTCTTTGTAAGCTTTTTCCTATTTTAAAATTTTCTTTTTTTATTTTTAAGATTTTATGAAAAACTAAGACACAAATGCACCTATTAGCCTAGGTCTACACAGGGTCAGGATCATCAATATCACTGTCTTCCACTCCATATCTTGTCCCACTGGAAGGTCTTCAAGGGCAGTAACACGCATGGAGCTGTCATCTCCTATGATAACAATGCCTGCTTCTGAAATTCTTCCTGATGGACCTGCCTGAAGCTGTCTTACAATTCACTTTTTTATATGTAAGTACAAGGAGCACACTCTAAAATATAGAGCTACGGTGTCACTAGGTGACAGGAATTTTTCAGCTCCATTATTATCTTATGGGACCACTGTCATGTATGCATGTTGACCAAAACATCATTATGTGGCACATGACTATACCATGAACCAGCGAAGCTGAAATATCTCAGAATTATGTGGGCATTTAGCAGTTTCCCTCACCCACCCCTTTCCCCTACTTCATCAGCCCCAGGCATAGCAACACCTTCACCTGCTCCTAGACACAGCCCCCGCTGGGACCTCACCATCTCAGGAAGGATTATTTAGAGGATTATTATGTGTGATATTCTGTAGATATGTTTTTGCTTTTTGGTGGAAGGGAGGGATATTTTGTTTGCCCACACAGAACTTTTTTAAATAGGAGCAGTTGTGAACATTTTACAAGTTTAATGTTTCTCACAAAAAAATCTGAATTTCTAGCTTCCCTTGAAAAACTGGAGGATCCAGGCAGGCCTGGCCTGGGATTTCCATGCAGCAGACATTGAGTGTTACCTCCCACTGGACGGGCACACCCTCCTCCCCCGTGGGCCACAGGGATCACTGCACATGCACTGCTTTTAGACTTATAGCAAAAAAAACTACGCTCTGAATCTCTGTGTCCCTAGATGTGGAAACTAAGACAAGGATTCTTGTTCAAGTAATTCACTGGGAGAGTGCCTTTGGGACCAGGGACATGAGGAAAACAGCCGAGGGCAAGGGCACAGGGCCAAGCGAGGATGTGGTCTCAGCTGAAGCTCAGCTTCAGTCTGATCCCTGGGGAAGCTATGGAGGACACACTGCACCAGAGAGCTAATCTCACATTTAGGTAAGGGGCCTAGGGTGGGGAGGGAGTGATATCCTGGGCTGTTTGGCTCAGGGAAATTCTCAGGGGAAGGGGACAGCTGTGCACCCTTAGCACAGGGCTGGGGCGTGGATGCACAGACCAGTTTCAGGGAAAGGGGATATGGGCAGGGGGCCAGCAGCATTCACTCCATCATGTCCTTATTAAATGCAGGGGAATAAAAGATATACAATAGAGCTAAGTGCTTCAAGGAACATAGGACAGTGTATTTCTTCACAGAAGCAAAGGATATTTCTCAAGTTTAGTATGTAAACAAGTGCAAACATTGGGCCACAGCACTCTTTAGGTGACCTTCCCGGGCCCTATAAATACCTGCGTTTGCCCCACCTCACCCCCATTACATGCTGTTCCCCTCTTTCACTTTAGTCTGTACCCACCCGGACTTATCACCATAAGCAGGCCCTCCTGTTAACCCCAGGACTCTCCAGGGAACTGTGTGCTCAAAGTTAACTGGGCAGGAACAGGACGGAATTCTTTAGGATTACTGAAGAAGACTACACTGAAATACCACAAAACCAGTTTAGGGACAATAAGAAAAGGAGACAGAAAAACACATTCATATGTCATCAGTAATAAGCACATCACATCACAGGAAGAAGTTACTGTGATAACCAATGTGTAAACACTGCTTAGAATGACATTAAATAATCCTTTGAAAGTCAATAATGAATTGACCAAGAATAAATTTGAAAACCTCAATAAAAATAATTGTATAAAACAGGATTTTTAAAAAAAAATTTTAACTTGTATTTTAAGTTCAGAGGTACATGTGCAGGTTTGTTATACAGGTAAATTTGTGTCATGGGGCTTTGTTGTACAGATTATTTTTTCACCCAGGTATTAAGCCTAGTACTCATTAGTTATTTTTCCTGATCCTCTCCCTCCTCCCAGCCTCTACTCTCCAGCAGGCCCCAGTGTGTGTCGCTCCCCTCTATGAGTCCATGTGTTCTCATCATTTAGTTCCCACTTAAAAGTGAGAACACCCGCGGTATTTTGTTATCTGTTCCTGTGTTAGTAAAACAGGGTTTTTTTAAAATCAAAGAATAATGTCTCAGAATCCGAAAAATTATTGTAAATTTATGATACTGGGCCAATAATATTATTTTTTAAAATCTAAATTAAGAAGTGTAGTGTTCCCTATCAGAGTTTACGTACCTCAGAACTGGAGAGCCCGGAATCTTTCTCATCCAAGTCCTTCAAAAGCTCAACCAGCCTTTTCTTCTCTCTGTCAACCATAACCACTGGGTTTCTTGATTCCTTGGCCAACTACAGAATTTATTAATGGAAAATATCATATACTCAAGGAAATTCACAGTTCAGGAAAAAAAAAATGGAATCTGAGACTTCTACACTACAGATACACAAAGAAAAGTTGCAAGATTAGGCATTTTACATTTTCTAGGTAATTTTATTTTATACCAAAATTTTTATATAGGGCCATTCTCTAATATCCAAAGATATTATCCCTATAAGCAGGCCCTGCTGTTAACCACTCCAACAGACATTTTATTAAAAAATAATATGAGCAGTTTTCAAACCTCTCTACTATAGATAAAAAATATAAATGCAAAAACATACTTGCTGAGACATTTGGAAGAAATCTTCTTGCCACTTTCTTTGGGGTACTTATCCACTAAATGAAAGTGCTTTTAAATTTCAAGACTATCATATGAGGAATTTAAATATTCAGTTACTATTAAAAAGGGGAAAGAGAAATCTACGGTAGACCTGCTATCTGTGTTAGCAAGAACCTGGATAAGGGGGGAACTCTACTCCTCTAGGAAAATTGAACAGAAAATAAACATACAACAGGCCACTGCAAAGACAGAGACAGAACAAGATGGAGGTTTCCTGAAGAAGATCATATGAATGTGGAGCACAAAAATCGAGAGTCCCAGAGGCCAGTCCTGGCAGTGGCAGGCTGCCCCACGAATCCAGTTTGCCTGGAAATGATGTGCCAATTATGGGGAAAGCATCAGGCTTGAAGGGTAAAAAATTACTTAACTCTCTCTTGTCAATACTCCACACTCGCCCATGCAGTTTTCTAGTGACTCTGCTCAAGGGTGTGCAGAGCTTCTGTCCTCCTCACTACATTTCTTGTTGTAAATTAATTAATTCACATTCTGGTCTAACCCAGGAACCCCTGCGCCCTTGTTTAGTTTGAATCTGCCTTAAAGACAGGCTGCAAGGCCTGTAAGACCAAAGATAGGTGCTTGAAGCAGAAGCTAATGAAGGCCAGTGACCAGCTGCTGGGACGTCCAGAGAAGAGGCGGACAACCAGTTGGCTTCTCCAGCCCAGCCCTGCTGCTCTGCCAGGAGCATTTTCCATTCAAAGTTCTAAATGTACTGGCTACAAAATCAGTCTCATTACTTAAAAAAAAACAATTTTACTAATATGCAATTTAAAATCTGAGAAACATTGTCCAAAGCTATTATCTGAATAAATGTTTTGCAAATTGCAGGAAACAGACTATTTCTGGATAGTGAAATAAATGATAGATGCACCTACCATTTTTAAAAAGAGATAGGATAGGATAGGATGTAGTGGGTTGAACATAGAAATAATGAAGTACTGGTTCATAAAAGTTTTCTTTCATTATATCTACTAATTCAATCATTTATACATTTATGATGGTTGAAAAATATTTAAAGACACTGAACAAAACTATTGCCATTTTTTTCAACTCATTTAGCCCCAAATTCTGGCTTCTGAATTTCTAAGTACATACCTCAATGTTTCTCTTAATAAAATCCTGGTTGTGTTTACCCCTGAGCTCAATCTTTTCTGTATTCGAGAAAGGTTTCTTTCCTGATTTGATCAATGACTCATTTCTTTCCACATCACAGGTAAAATCTAATATTAAAAAAGTTCAAAATTTTTTCATAATTAAAAGTGTCAATTATGCTAAAAGTTCACTTTAAGCATATATTAAAATATATAAGAACTAAAACACACACAGAAGAACTAACTTCTACATTCCAGATCCAGAAACCTAATATATAATGGAGATCTAGTCTTAAAAAGATAAATGTGCTACTGTAACTTCAAATGAAGTTCTCATAAAACTTCTTGTGTAATTCATTATCATGTATCAAACTTCTTCCTGTTGATTCCATGAGAATGATGGGAAATATCAATAGAACTTCAAGACAGACATGAGAAGAAGAAATCGCTGATGTTAGGGAGACTTTAAAATATATTTTTTATTTCAGTCTTGACACAAAACAAAAATTTCCCTAAAGGCTAGGTCATCCCTGCTATTCTATTAATTTGCCATTACCCTTTCTGAACAGTGCATTTTGTTTTGCCTGTCTTTTGAGCAAGGTCTGGGAGTTAGCGTCCCATGTCCTAGCTCCCATCTGCACAAACCCCTAGAGCCCATCTCAGTTGGCCAATTTTCCTCAACCTTTTGGAAGAGGCTTGAGTCAATGTCTGAGATATTCAGACACCGAGTGCTCAAAATAAGAATAAGAAAAATACTTGTGGACTCGTATTCCCTTTATAAAATATCTTGTTTTCTATGTGTCGCATTAAAATATTCTAAAACAAGATCATGTGAACCCTTCATTAAAGCTCTGAAAATATGCACGAAGAAGGAATGTCTCCTTATACAACACATGCAGTTCACCCTACAAAACAGGATGCATTTCCACAATCAAGTCCACAAAGGAAAAAAACACCAGTCACAAGCTCAATCCAGACAAAGTTTATATAAAATTTAATTTTGTTTTATAAGGGAGGTTACCTGAACATAAAGGATTAAAGGAGCTAGTCAACTGGTGTGTTTATAGCTAGTTATCAAAGAGTCAATACAGATATAACCATTTAAAATTTTTTTGATGAAAATAGCTGGAAAGAACGAGAGAAAGAGTAAGATCTCTTGATTAAAATTCTTTTCAAACAGAAGTAGCTTTGAGTAAAAAAAAATTTTACTCAAATTTAAGTTATATAAGCTTATAACTTAAGTTATTAAGTTATATAAGCTTATAGCTTATATAGGCAAATAAACCTATGCTTTATACCTGGGGTTTTATTTTTTAACAATCACGTAATTATCTTTTAAATCAACTACCCATAGTTAACGTATGAGTTACTTTTTTGGTGAGTGGCCTAATAGATACAAAATATAACACTTCTTTCCATAATTCAAGTTGTATACAGTCTTTTTAGTTGAAATATGAGGTTTGTTTATTCATTCAGTTGAAGTTTCATATACTCTTAACCAATACAACATTTAAAAAATACAAACTGAATGCAGCCATGTTTACATTTATCACAGAGCTCCTTTAAAACATATTTCTAATAAACAGTAGGGAAAACACATTGGGTTATCTGGCCAGAACTGTCTTCACTGGAAATGTCCTCTTCTCCTCTCCAGTCTGGTATTGACATAGCTGCCATGTTCCTACAGTGACCCCAAACCTTGCTGGGTTGGACAAGTTGGTTGAGCCAGGGGTAGGCCCCTGACCCAGCTGGATCACTCAGGCTCTTCTCTAGGATTGCAGAACTGAGCCAACCTCTGAATGACTAACCACAGCATATGCTCTTGGGAACCAAAGAAAGCTGCCTCCCACCAAAATCATTTTCACAGACTTGTTTTTGCTTAAGCCAGGTTTTCATTACTTGCAGCCAGCTTTTTTTAAAAACTCTTTATTATTATACAAAATTTCAAACATCCAAAGTAGAATGGTATAACAAACTCTCAACAACTAGCTGCAACAATAACCAATCTTGTGTCATCTTGAACTCTACTTGCTTCCACTTACCTTTGGATTAAATTACATGAACTTATTTCATTTATGAATATTTCTGTATACAGCCAGTATTCCCTTGTGAAAATGTGTATAATCACACAAATTTAAATATACCTTTATTGAGTTTCTGCATCTGCATTTCATATTCTTCTGGAGGGATTTGAGTATGAAACACTGAGGAAAAGGTGTCTTCCTCCTCATGAGAAGGACCTGTTGATTTAAAAAATCACTTGTTCAATGCTCACAAAATAAATTAAGTAGTTGTCTACAAAATTGTTTTAAAAAGATAACATTTAATATTCTCTCCAGTGTTCCTCAGTCCCCTCCACACACATAAATTTCTTAAGACAATGTTAATGTCACCTCCAAGTAGAAATGACAATCACCTTTGTATACAGGAGCCAAATGAAACAAACTACAGAAGCTAAGATAGTTAAACAGCATTTCCCTAGAACTTAAGCACAAAAAGGATGTGTAAGAGTGTGCTAAAATAACACATTAACTCTCCAGAGATAATGCATCCAAATCTTGATGTTCATAATACAGAGAATATGCATACTGAGTAACTATAATTATGGTTTTCTCTTTTTATTTTAGGTCCCCAAGGTGGAGACTTCAAATATGCGATCAGTCATTAAGATAAAGGAATGTGAGAGAGAACTTGGGAGACTCTTAGCAGTTAACTTTCTTCTTTTCTGATGTATTTTCTTGGCACCTCCATAAAGAAGATAGATAGGACATTGTGTTTTTCAACTTAACTTTGTTTCAGTGTAGTTTATTTTTATGTTCTCCTATTAGCTAATTCGGACACTGTATATTTGCAAGACGCCGTTAACATAAACGTTTTATTAAAAGTGTGTCTCTGTACCCTAATGTGAGGGAATCTGCCAGGTTGCAGCACAGAAATGGTTTTGCCTCAGAAAATATGGGAAGTCTTGAGGATATTACAGGATCCACCACCTCTCCCAGAAAGCAAACCAAGTTCAGACACCCTCTATGAGCTGATACAGACAAAGGAAGCAGGCAGAAGATACATTCACCCTCAACACACATTCACCTAATTCAAAACACAAAACTTCTGCTACAAACACTAATTCATCAATTCCAATTCCCTAATTTGGAATTCATAATAATGAATTATGAACTGTGGTTAACATTACACTGTTAGTCTTTGTACAATCTTTGATGAGTTAATCAAGCAAATTTGTGGTGTAAGCCTGGGGAGAGAGGGGTAAACTACTTAGAAAACAAAAAGATTTAAAACTGTTTCTGAACTTTCAGTTTTTTGTTGCAACCACTATTATTAGGGGGTCTTCAATATTCATTAAAAGTAGGCTCAGCAAGTCAGCAATTTGGCAACATTTTATTATCAGTTTAAGTTACATTTACATCATAGTCCTGAAGTGGTAATATATTTTTCTATCCCATAATTCCTTTATGATAACAGTTTACTCAATTTTATATTAAAACACCTGTAAAGACACAAAAATATGAAAATTTACAATATGGAAAACCCTCACAGGTGATCAGCGACTATCTGAGACCAGTGTCATGCAGGTGGGTAAGAAGAATTTGAAATTACTCTTGTGACCCTGTGGCTCTTTGCCCATCTTCCCAGTGGTATTCATTGCCTCAGAGAGAGGTGTGTACTACATACAACAAAGGTGCCATCAATCGGCTTTGAGTTTAAAAGACAACAGTTTTAAAAGTTGGGCATTCAATTGCAAGAGCTTAACCCTTGGAGGAAAAAAAAAACATTTTCTGAATTCCACATCTCCCTTTAGAAAATTCTTCCTTCTTTTTCAAAAACAATTAACGTAGAAGAAATTATGGAATTAACCATTTAGTAACCATCATAACTGACTCAGGTAAGTATCACCAATGAACGATAAAACTAGTGGGTGACAGTTTGAGGAATAATAGGATAATAGCCTCAAAGTATCTATCTCCCCACAAGATAATTTATTAATTACCAAAGGAAAAATAGTAACTTTACCATGAAGAAACCTGGTAGACACCATTTTCATTTAAAGTGGCCAGAGTTAACATTGTGAGCATCAGGACAATCACCGTCATGCACTTCCTGATCTGATTCATTGAGAAGGACACTATCACTTCTGTGGGATTCCTGCCAAAAACTCATAACCTGAACCTAACCGAGCAGAAACAAACCAACCCAAACTAGAGGACATGCTACAAAATAATAGGCCTACTATCTTCAAAAATGCCTGTGTCATAAAACACCAAGACTAAAAGGTATGACAATAATGTAATGCATAGCCTGAGATTTTTCTTTTGCTATAAAGGATATTAGAGGGACAATTGGCAAAATCTCAATAAAGCCTATAGATAATTGCAAAATAATCATTTCCTGATTTATATGTATAATCGTGCATGTATGTGTGTATATGTGTGTCCTTGTGTGGAGAGGGAAAGAGAAAAGAGAATGTGGTAAAATGTTAACATTTGGAGACTCTGGATAGAGAGTATTTGAGAATCCTTTGTACTTTTCCTATGACTTTAAATCTGATCAAAATTCAAAGTTAATAAGAAAATTTTAAAAATTCCTCTCTTCACTACAAACATTCATGTGAGAAGGAAAAAAAAATCTCCCTTTAGAGATCATGAGCCAAAACATTGATGATTGAGCAAGTTTTTAATATGAGTCCTGAAAGAGGAAGATTGCAGGATGTGATTTAAATTGCTTCCTGCCACCCATGGAAGAAATTAAAGCCCATCCCAAATAAGGACCTAGAGGACCTGGAAGACCAGCAGAGGGGATGAGTTTAGAGTAGACACAAGTGATACAGGTATTAAGCTGCTCCCCGGCACAGCCCCTGGAGGTGAAATCCTGGAGGTGCATAGAGAACCTGAAGAGGCTGGAGAAACCCACAGCAGAGTGAGCTCTGCCTCACTGTACACCTGGAACTGAGGGGAGACCCCGCACAAAGGAACATGGTGCTCTCCAACCACCCATGACAGCTGCAGACAAGCAAAGGCAGTGTGGCATGCTTACAGGGAGACAGAGGCTGAAGTAGTCTGTCTGTCTGTCTGTCTGTCTCTCTCTCTCTCTCTCTCCCCCTCAGTCACACACACACACACACACACACACACACACACAGTTCCCCACAGCTGGCCAGCCTGTGGCTTGAAGGAGAACAGAAGCTCTCACATGCCCCTGTGAAGAAGACTGGGGTCGTGATGAGGGGGTGGCATAGAGCCTTCCACCAGAGAGGATGTGGCAGGGACCACATACAACATCAGCATCTGCTGGCAGATGACAAAGGCTAAATGGGACCAGCTACAAGTCAGCAGATGCCCCAGCTGGCTTCCCATATCCACAGACCAAGCAGGACAAGATACGCCTCTGAGAGAACAGCAAGGACCAGATTCACGCGCCACCCCGCCCCCCACCCCGCCATCCCCAGGCCATGATGCTACACAAGCGTCCTCCCGAACCCAGACACCATCCTGAGAAAAGGCAGGAAGAAACAGAAAGGGAAAAAGAGCCTCATTTCTGAATACTGAATTATGCCATACAATTTTTAGATGCCCTACACGAGTATAGTAAATCCTCTCTTAATGTCATCTATAGATTCTTGGAAACTGCGACTTTAAGCAAAATGACATATAAGGAAACCAATTTTACCATAGTCTAATTAATATAAATAAGAATTAAGTTTCTGTGGCACATTTCCGGAAACAAAAACATTATTAAACTTCTAAATAAAGACCAAAACACTTGTAATATTAAAACTCACATAAATGTGGGCTATAAGTACATTTCAGAAAAATTAATAAAAATAAGCAAGGTAATTATTTATCAGCTTATTCTAATTCAGAGTCTCAAGTGGCCAGAGTCTATCTGTGCAGCTCAGAGTCCCAGGTGGGAACACACCCTGGACAGGATGCCATGGCAGGGTGCCCTCAGACACACCCACACTCACTCACAGTGGAACCACGTAGATAACCTAACATGCATATCTTTGAGATGGAGAGGAAACTGGAGTGTCTGGAGAAAACACATGCAGACAGGGGGAAGACAAACTCCATACAGACAGTGGCCCTAGCTGGGAATCCATTTTTTTTTCATCAATGTTATAATAAAATGACAGAGCCTGGCGTGGCTCACACCTGTAATCCTGGCACTTGGGAGGCCAAGAGGAATCTCTTGAGCTCAGGAGTTTAAGGCCAGACTGGGCAAGATGGCAAGACCCCATCTCTACAGAAATTTAAACATTAGCCGGGCATGGTGGCATGTACCTGTAATCTCAGTTACTCAGGAGGCTGAGGTGGGAGGATCCCTTGAGCCCAGGAATTCGAGGTGGCAGCGAGCAGTGATCATGCCACTGCACTACAGCCTGGGCAACAAAATGAGATCACATCTCTAAAAAATAAAAATTTAAAAAATTAAAAATAAAAAAACACGATGTTGAATGAAACAATTTCATTCAACGACCTAATGTTCTCTATTTCCAGAATCTGGAAAAAATTGCCACCAACACAAATGATAGAAAGGGAAAGAGAAAAGCAATCAGTGGTCATGTAAGCTTTGCCTACTGAAACAGCGCAGGGGCAGACTTAGATCTAGATGGAAAGCACCCCCTTGACTCAGAGATAAAAGGAAAAAAACAACCAGAAACCAGAGTCCCCATCTCCTTGAGCAACAACACTGTTTCTTGAGGCAGTTCAAATGCTGTTACTCAACCGCTGTCATACTTCTTTCTACATCTCTTCAGAGGCTGCAACTCTTAGAAAACAACTGGACAGAAAGGAAGCAGAAATCAGCAATGAAGATCACAATTTTAAAAGCATGCAGATGGACAATGAGCAGACTCAAGGCAGATGTACCTTTTTGCTCTGTTGGTAAATGGCAGGTGTGGATGGATTTTACCTCATTGGAGGATAAGAAGACACAGAAGGAAAAAAAATGAAAAACAAATGAAACAGCATCCTGGTAATCAATGGGACAGCAGACATTTTGAAAATAACTATAAAAAAATCATAAAATTTCTAAAAACTTGTTGGCATCCTCAATATATCAAAATATATGACATTTGTGAAACTAGAGGAGTAAGTCACAGGAAAGAACTGATGAATATAAAAAGACAAGAGGATGGGATTATAAAAATAAAGGGGGAAGAAGGGGGAACTGAGTGAAATAAGGAGAGATGATAAGAAAACCAACGTGAGAGTGTATCTTTTAACAGGCTAGTTCAAAAGAGTACACTCATTGCCTCACCTAACATGTACATCACTAGACACATTAGTGATTTTCCTGTTAGACCCTAATGGTTTTCCTGTTTGGGCTTCCCTCCTTCCCTCCTTCCCTCCTTCCCTCCTTCCCTCCTTCCATTCTTCCTTTCTTCCTTCCTCTTTCCTCCCTCTCTCCCTTTCTTCCTTTCTTTTAATGCTCATTTTCTTGTCTTCTTTTCCTTTCTCCTTTATAAACCATAATCCTAACTATACAACAATTTGGAAAGTTTGCACTTTAATTTGAAGTCTAAGTTATATAAACATATTTTTTCTATATTAAGAAAGTCAAGAACAAAAAATGGTTTTCTGCCTCTCCTCTAAAGTAATACAAGGAATTTAGAATTGTTTTACTTACCCTCACTTTTCTCCCACTTTTCAGCCTCTGTTAATATAATCTGGACTTTTAGGCCTACCTATGGTTATTCTTATCTTCTAGCATAGAGTAATTCTTGGATTTATAAACATACATTTCTTTCTGTTCACCTCTGTGTTTGGCTGGTTATAATGCTCACAGATCATTCCTTTATATAGCAACTTCTCTAATCCTGGATTGTACATTGTGACTCATCTGCTGGTTGCCTAGAGTATGGTTTCAAGTACATTTATTCCAAAAACAATATGAGCAGTGAATTATCCACTCTACCATATCTAAGAATGTCTTTCTGTTGTCTTCACAAAACAATAACAGAAGCAATATGTAATCCCTAGTTACTATATTTTTCCTTTATTGCAAGAAAGATATCTGAACTCAGCTTCCATTTTTATAGGTAAAATAAGATTATTCTAATTTGGGCCTGGATGCTTGTAAGATTTCTTAGGGCCTTCCCATGGTTCAGAATCTTACCTGTGTATATATGGGTATTGGCCTTTTATCATTAATAGTGCATATATAATATTTTTTAAATCAGAAAAATTTCCTGTGATCATTGTTTCTATAATAGTTATACTAGTTTACTTTCTCAGAAATTTCTATAATTTTTAACTGGAATTCCTATTCCCTATCTCCACACTTATCATTTACTTCATCATTTCCTCATCTATTTATCCCTTCATGTTGTGGAGCATCCTTCACTGCCTTGATTCTCCTGCAGTCTTAATTATGCTCATTACTCCAATAAGTGCATTTTTCCTATTTTTCCTTGTAATCCTTTCTCATCTTAATCAGCTTCTTTTTTAAATCATCCTCTTGTCATTTCATGTTAATATACTCTTTCTTCCAGTTCTTCTTTTTTGGTTTCACAAATAATACGCATTTTCTACTATATTGAAGGATTCCAATCAGTTTTCAGAAACTAATAAAAGCACAATTATACTGAAAGACCTTAACAGAACTCTCTAAGATGAATGCAAATCAAATAGACAAGTAATAAGGACATTTTGCACATTTCAAAGTTTGTTCTCCACAGAGAGAAACAGTCCTTCTTTTCAAGTGTCCACGGAGTACTTATAAAAGTTAATCATATATTAGGTGAATTTTCCCTGGGGGTATTAATCATATTACAGGCAAAACAATTCTCCGTGTGGAGCTTCCTTATGCAATTCCTGACCTTTAGCAAACTTGGCCCCTGGCATAGTGGCATAAATTCCAGTAGTTCCCTCATTCTCCCCTGCAGCACATCCTTATGACAACCAAAAATGCACACATCCAAATGTCTCCTACAATTGAGAACCTCTCTAATAAGCTATAAAGAAAATTTCAACCAATTCAAAATATCAAAAACAGTTCTAAGAGGGAAGTTTACAGCAATAAATGCCTACATTATAAAAGAAGAAAGATCTCAAATAAGTAGCCTGACATTATGCTTCAAGGAACTGCAAAAATAACAAACTAAACCTAGTTAGCAGAAGGAAGAAAATAATAAAGATCAGAACAGAAATAAATCAAATAGAGGATAGAAAAGCCACAGGGAAGGAGAAATCAATAAAGCTAAGAGTTGTTTTTCTGAAAAATCAAAATCAACAAAAGTTAGACTAAGAAAAAAACAGAAGACTCAAATATCTAGAATCAGAAATGAAAACAAAGAAATTACAACAGACACCTAAGAAATAAAAAGTATCAAAAGGGACTATTATGAATAATTATGTGTCAAAAAATTTGATAACCTAGAGGAAATGGATAAATTCCTAGAAAAATATAAACTACCACTATTAAATCAGGAAGAAACAGAAAGCCTGAACAGATCTACAATAAACACAGAGATTGAAGTAGTAATTAAAAACTTCCCCGCAAAGAAAACCCCACGACCAGATGGTTTCATGGCTGAATTCCACCAAACTCTCCAAGAAGAATTAATACCAATACTTCTTAAACTCTTCCAAAAAAAAAAAAACCAGGCTAGAGGGGATACTTTCTAACATATTTTATGAAGCCAGTATCACCTTGATACCTGAGCCACACAAAGACCCAACACAAAAAAGAAAATTACACACCAGGAATCTCTGATGAACATTGATGTAAAAATCCTTAATAAAATATTACACCAAACCAAATTCAACAATATATCAAAAAGACTACACATCATGATCAAGTGGGATTTATCCCTGGCAGGTAAGGGTGGTTTAACTTATGTAAATCAATCAGTGTGATATATAAATAACATTAACAGATTGAAAGACAAAAACCACATGATCATTTCAATTGATGCAGAAAAAGCATTTGACAAAGTTCAACATCCTTTCTTGATAAAAACTCTCAAGAGTTTAGGTATAGAAGAAAATTTCCTGAAGGCCATTTATAAAAAGTTCACAGTTAACATCATAACCAAGGGGGAAAAACGGAAAGCTTTTCCTCTGAGATCTAGTACAAGGTAGGGATGCCCACTCTCATCACTTCTATTCAACACAGTACTGGAAGGACCAGCAAGAGCAATCTGACAAGGAAAAGAAATAATAGGCATCCAAATCAGAAAGGAAGAAGTAAAATTATCTCTACTTGCAGATGACATGATTTTGTATGTAGAAAACCTCACAGATTCCACCAGAAAAAAACTATTAGAAGTAATAAATAAATTCAGAAAAGTTGTAGAGTACAAAATCAACATATGAAAATCTGTGGCATTTCTATACACAAACAACCTAGCCTAAAAAAATCAAGAAAACAATCTCATTTATGATAGCATCAAAAAAATCAAATAAAGTACTCAGGAATAAATTAAACCAAGGAGGTAAAAGACCTGGACACTAAAAACTATAAAACATTGGTGAAAGAGATTCAAGAGGACACAAATAAATGGAAAGATACTCCGTGCTCATGGATCAAAGGATTCAATATTGTGATAATGTCCACACTACCCAAAGCAACCACTATCAAAATCCCAATAATATTTTTCACAGCAATAGAAGTCCTAAACTTCATATGGAACCACAAAAGACCCCAAATGGCCAAAGCAATTCTGAAAAAGAAAAACTAAAGTTGAAGGCATCACACAGAAAGGTGATCAAATTAGTATTACTAATGTAATCAAAACAGTATAATACTGGCATAAAAACAGACACACAGACCAGCAGAACAAAATACAAATCCCAAAAATAAATCCAAACATATACAGTCAACTAAGTTTTAACAAGGGCCCAAGAAGACACAATGGGGAAAAGGTAGTCTCTTCAATAAATGGTGCTGGGAAAACTGGAATTCCACATCCAAAGGAATGAAATTACACTCTTATCTTACCTCATACACAAAAATCAACTCAAAGTGAATAAAAGACCAAAACATAAAATCTGAAACTACAAAACTCCTAGAAGAAATCATAGAGGGAAAGTGCCTTAATATCACCCTGGGCAATTATTTCTTGGGTATCACACCAAAAGTTCAGAATACAAAAGCAAAAATAAATAAATGAGACTACAACAAACTAAGAAGGTTCTGCCTAGCAAAGGAAACAATCAATAAAAGAAAAAAACCTACAGATTGGGAAAAACATTTGCAAATCATATATCTGATAAGGTGTTAATATTCAAAATTTATAAAGAACTCATACAACTCAATAGCAAGAAAACATAGCCTGATTAAAAATGGGCAAAGTAAATAGATATTTTTTCAAAGAAAACATAAAAATGACCAACAATATGAAAAGGTGCTCAACATCACTAATCATCAGGGAAATGTAAATCAACCCTACTGTGAGATAACAACTTGTTAGGAAAGCTATTATCAAAAAGACAGGAGATAACAACTATTGGTGAGGGTGTGGAGAAAAGGGAACCCTTGTATACTGTTTGAGGGAATACAGATTGGTGGAGCCATTATGGAAACCAATATGAAGGTTTCTAAAGAAATTAAAAATAGGAAGAATTACCATATGACTCAGCAATTCCTCTTCTGGGTATAAACGCAAAGAAAATGAAATCACCACCTCATAAAGACATCTGCACTCCCATGTTTATTGCTCCATTATTCATAATAGCCAAGATATGGAAACAAACCAAGTGTCCATTGGCAGATGAATGGATAAAGCAACTGTAATACATAAACACACACACACACACACACACACACACACACACACAGGAATATTACTCAGCCTTAAAAAAGGAGAACCTGCCTTTTGCCACAACATGGGTAGACTTGGAGGACATAATACTATGTGAAATAAGCCAGACACAGAAAGAAAAATACCGCATGATCATGATCTCACTTATATGTGGAATCCAAAAAAAAAAGTCAAATTTACAGAGAAAGGGAATAAAACAATGATTACCTGGGGAGAGAACACTGGGAGGAAATGGGAAAATGTAGGTCAAAGGATAAAAAATAGCAGATATGTAGGACTAACAAGTTTAAAGATCTAATGTACAACTCAAGGACTATAATTGATAATAGTGTATTACATTCAGGATTTTTGCTAAATGAGATTATAGCTGCTCTTCCCATGATGGGGGTTTGGGGAGAGGAAATGGGTAACTATGTGAGGTGACTGATATGTTAATTTGTTTCACTATAGTAACCATTTTACCATATATATTTATAGATATATGTATCTCATATCATGTTGTAATACCTTAAATATACACAATAAAATTTATTTTTAAGAATATCAAAACCATGACCACAATATTATGAGACTCAATATTCATTTTTAAAATATAGGACTTGTACAAAATTCTGGAGAAGAAAAGAAAGTCATCATCATTTTCTAAATAACGATTAGTATATTTAGTTTAATGAGGTTCCCATTGTCAATTTTTGTTTTTGTTGCTATTGTTTTTGAGAATTTAGTCATAAAATCTTTGCCTAGGCCAATAACCAGAAGAGTATTTCCTAGGTTTTCTTCTAGAATTTTTATATATTTAAATCCTTAGTCCATCTTGAGTTGATTTCTGTACATGGTAAGTTAGAGATCCAGTTTTATCTCTCTTCCTATGGTTAGCAAGTTTTCCCAGCACCACTCCTTAAGCAGGGGCTGCAAATAGCAATCTCTTTCCAAAGAGTAGAGTGTGGCAAAGGATGGGGAAATATGGTAACTTACAGTGGAAAAATCTTACAAATATTTCCTCAGCCAGGTGAACAGAGTTAACATTAATAGCAATGTTATGTTAATAATATGATGTAATGTAATGAAAATGACCCTGTAACTCCATGGTTTTCCTCCCAAAAACACATACTCTCAGTCTAATCATGAGAAAAGCATGAGATAAATTCCAACTCTTGGACATTCTACAAAATACCTGACCAGTACTCCTCAAAACTGTCAAGGTCATTAAAAATAAAAAAAGTCTGAGAAAGTGTCATAGCCAAGAGTAGACTGAGGAGGCATGAGGGTTAAATGGAATGTGGCATCCTGGATGGGATTCTGGAACAAAAAACGGACATTAAGTAAAAGTTAAGGAAACCTGAATATATCAATATTGGTTCACTAGTTGAAACAAATGAACCATACAAATGCAAGATATTCATAATAAGGGAAACTGGGGGTGGGTATAGGGGAAATCTCTGTACCATATTCATAATTTTTCTATGAATGTAAAACTGTGCCCAAATAAAAAGTTTAGAAAAAACTTCCAGGTTAAAAAGATTGAGAAAACATTAACAAAATTAGAGATAAAGAGGATGTACAAACAATATGAAAAAGAATTATTATTTAAAAGACTATCTGAGATTGCATGTTAGTAAATTTTTAAATCTTCATGAAGTGGATACTTTAAAATCTTAGTGACATGGATGCATTGCCAAAATTGACTCCAGAATAGCTAGTAACCTGAAATAGAATAGCAAATATGAAGGCAGCTGAGAAAAGAGTCAGAGAAGTGCCTCCAAGAAATTATTTGAACCAGATGGTTTTTCCAGTGAAATCTTTCAAATTTGAAGGGAACAGATAATCCCTGTGTTATATAAACTGTTTCAAATCATAGAAATAAGTGAGCAGCCATCCCCATTCATTTTATGAAGTTCACACAGCCTGACAAAGCAAACACACATACATCGACTCTCCACCCTCAACTTCACCCCCTATACCATAACAAACATTTCACACACCTGTGTGTGCACACACAAACACAACTAACCTTGCTTATAAATATAGATGCAAAAAATCTGAATAAATTCATTCATTTAAATCTGGTACTAAATTAAAAGAATAATCTTCCATAACCAAGAAGGGTTGGCCCAGGAATAAAAGACTCATTTGGTATTTAAATCCATTAATTTTAAAACATTAAATATGTTGGACATGAAATAAAAATTTATGATAATTTAAATATATATTGAAATGCATTCAATAAATTTCAACACTAAGTTCTTACAGCTCTCAGCATAGGAATAATTGTTAAAAAGGACACAAAAATTAACATTATTTCCTGGTTATGTGTTCATAAACTAAAAAAAAGGTAAACAAGTAAAAATAATTAAAATTAATAAGATAATTTAGTTAAATGTACAAATAGAAAACAAATTATAAATGTCTAAAAAGTCACTAACTTTCGTCTATGTCATTAATAACCCTTTATAAATATGATGGGCTAAACACCAATCAGGGTAATAACAATAAAAAGATATATAAGACCTATGCATAGCTAACAGATGTATGAAACCTGAAGAAATTCTTTGACATATAAATGATAATATAAGAGACACAAACCATGTTCCTGTTGATGCAGTAACGTCTAGTAATCACAGGATTACTAATAATAACTCAATTTGTTGAGCACTTACTAAGTGCTCTAGAAGTCAGCTACCATGTTGTGAGGACATACACGCATCCTATGGAGGGGTTTGCGTAGTAAGAAATTAAGGTCTCCAACCCAAAGGCAGCAAGAAACTGAGGTCTGCAAACAACCATGTGAGTGAGCTTGGAAGCCGATTCTCCAACTCCAATAAAGCTTTCAAATGACTGTAGCCCCGGCAACCATTTGACAGGAGGGATCTTGAGTCGGAACCACCCAGCTAAGATACTCCCAGATTCCTGGCCCACAGAAACTGTGAGATTATAAATGTTTGTTGGCTTAGGTTGCCATGTTTTAGGGGTAATTTGTTACACAGCACTAGATAACCAGTACAATGATCTTGCAGGAAAATAATGACACCATGGAGGCGAGACTGAAAACTGTTTGAATAATCTGATAGAGAAATGCTGAGACCAAACCATTTAATAATGGGGATAAAAAAAAAACAGGTCAGATACAGATAGGGCAGAACAAATACTCATTTGGGGAACTCAAGGAAGAAGTGTAAAAGAACAATAACAGAGGAACTGAGGCTGGCTCTTCAATTTCTAGTTTAGGAGACTAGGTGGGTGATGAAACCATTAACTAAAGCAGAGAAAACATATAAAAGAAGGAATAAGTTTCAACAATAGGAGGAAGAAGGAAAGAAAAAGAAGAAAACCAGCAGGGAATAACAAATCCAGTAAAAATTGCACTATGCTATGAGAGGTCACTGTGTCAGATTCTACAGTGATGTCAAGTACAATCAAAACTGGAGGTATGCCATTAGATTTCAAATTTAGGAGGACCACTTATGAAGCAGCTTCCACAGCGTGACAGTAGAAAATACAGACACTGAAAAGTTAAGAAGTAAATGGAAGTTGACCAGGTAGCACCAAGAGATGTGGACTATTCTTTCAAGAAGTCTGACCTTTAAGGAGAAGAGGGAAACTGAGTGGTGTCTGTTTTAGAGTAAGATTAAAAAAAAAAATGAGGAAAAAGGCTTATTTGTATGTTCTGTTGGTTATTCATTGGTTCAATGGCTTTTTGATTCTGTTTTAGGACTAGAAGAGTTAAACATGGTAAGTTAAAGGGAAAGAGCCAGAGAGATTGAAGCTCTAGATGAAAAAATGGAATGACGAACAAACCAACAGCCAGGAACACAGTGAAAGGGATGGGATGTTACTGATTTTGGCCTCAGAGAATAAGAGTACCTTCCCTCCATCTAAAGTTAGAGGCAAGAGGCAGAGGATGAATGAACACAGTCAGGATGAAGCTTAGAAACAGAAGAAATGAATGTAAAAGGAATTCCTACCCTGTAGATTCATTTTCTCTGGAAAGGAAGACCAACCAAGACAGTGAAGGTCTTGCAGAAGATGGGAGATGAAGCACATAGTAATAGTTTGGAATCACCATTTTGGAGAATGCAAGAGATTGCTAAACAATGCTGAGACTCCAACAGAAATTAAAAACCAAAATCCTTGCCTGTGTCAGTCAGCACAGTTATGTGATTTCCTCCCTCTACCCTCTGCATATCAGAGTAGAAAGAGACTACCAGATTTTCTTTGAGTATTTAACCCAAGCATCCAAGAGCAGAAGTATCATATATCTGAGTCTCACAGAAAAGGCACCTAGAAAAAAGTATTCTCAAATTTGAAAAAGCCTAATTGGTTATGATGTTGATGTTTTGTGTTTATATGCATTTCTATATTTGGAGCTAGAAACACAAGAGAGAAACGTGACAAAGACAAAAAGAATAACCTCTATCAAAAAGCAACCCTGTCACTAGATGTATTTGTCTCAAAGAATATTGAATTCTACCTGTATTCATTAGATAAATGATAGAAACTAAGGGAAAACTCCTGGCGATGTAAAAGAGTTTTGATTTTTGCAACATGCCTCTAAAAAAACCCAAAAGTGACCCCTCAGTAATGGGATGGGACAGACTTTTAAAATACTTCAGAGATCTCTAGCAAGTACAATATTGTTTACTTCAAAATCCCAGTAAACTTGAGGTTAATATGTCTGGATTATAAGGTTCAAATGTGATATAAATCAATTTAATGTTGTTTTCAACTTTCTCTTGGAGTCAAGGCATCTTTTGTGTTTAGCACCTATAAATAAAAGTAAATGCACTATCCAACCACAGTTATTTTCTTCATTTATTTGCTGTTGCTTATTTGTGATGTTATAAGCCAACTGGGATGGGTTCTGTGTTTTGGAAGCTGAAAACAGGTTGGAAATTGCCATTCAGCCATCAGCCCAAAGTCCTTAAGGTTAATTTTTTGTTTGTTTGTTTGTGTTTTGGAGATAGGGTTTCACACAGTCACAAATGCTGCAGAGCAATGGCATGACTGCAGTCTCAAACTCGTGGACTCAAGCAATCCTCCCACCTCAGCCTCCTGATGCTTGGCTAATTTTTAAATATTTTGTATAGACAAGGTCTTGCTAAGTAGCCCAGGTTGGTCTCGAACTCCTGGCTTCAGGCAATCCTCCTGACTCCACTTCCCAAAGCGCTGGGATTACATGCATGAACCACCCACCCAACCTGAAGCTAACTCTTAAATAAGAGGATAAGAAAAACTGACTAGAAAAGAAAAATATCCATCCTAAGAATTTCTCCCTTTGTTTAAAGACAAAAAATGAAAAGAAAGAAAGTAGGTTTGGGTATATTGATAGGTATGCTGAAATAGGTCTGGCTTTAATAACGTGATCATGCTTAAAATGATTCTCTCTGAATATAGCTTTCAAGTCCCTTGCAGCTCCAGCTTTCACATCATTAAGTCCACTGAATTTCCATGTTAGAACATCAGGACTAATCTAACATTACAAGAAGTGTCTGCAGGGTGTAGAGCAGTCACATGACTCCAGAAATACAATGTGAACTCTATAGGTTTAAGCCAAAAATGTATGCCAGGAGCTTTAAAATTTTTTTAAATGCTTTAAGGCTTTTTAAAGTACTTATTGTAACTAGATGCTGCCACCTACTGGACAATTTACAAGTGCCTGAAACTGTGCTGGCAACAAAAAATTATACAGGAAAAAAAGGCAAAATTTTCCTGTTTTCCTAATAATACTTATAAAAATATCTTATTTAGAAATGTATGGCTATATATGATTGATTAAAATAATTTTTAAATTTTTATACATTTCTAATTAAAACAGTAGCTGAGATCTAATGAGTAATGGGAAATTCATTTCATTGTAGAACAGATGAAAGTAGCTTCGTACCACCTTATGATAGTGCTTATGTTGAAATACCAGGAATATGAGACTTTCAAAAAATCCGTGGCATGAGGTCAAACTGGACTGTTGTGTTTCTAATTATTTCTTTCATACTTGCAGTGAAAATATTCTGCTAATAATACCAAGTTTAAGCTGATTATTCCAAAAGTTTCCTCTTTTAGAATAAGGTAATAGTTATGTAGTCCAAAAAACAAATTAATATAATTAGGTTAATAATGCAGCCTAAAGTAAATGCTAACTACTTTTTTGTTTTTAAGAATTTAAAAAAAACAGATATGTGTGGCAATAAATGACTCCAAAACATATGTCTATGAAGTAAACAGCAAGCAGGAAATTTCATTAAGGAATTTGGCTTTTCTGTAAAAGAACAATCATCAAAAAAAGATTCTAATTAAATCTGAAGAAGCCAGTAATACAATAATGTTACCTCTTCATTTTGGTGAACTGGTCAAGTGTGAACTAATTAAGACAGTCAGTAGCAAGAGTGAAGTGCAACAGACATCTGGTTCACCTAACAGTATCTTGTATTCCCTTTTCCTTTTACGTTGACCCTACTTTTGCATCTTACCTGCTTTGCACACACTGCCAATACATAATAACTAAGAAGTCTGAATCTAAAAATTGAAGCTTTAATAATGTCATCATGTTTAAAACAATGATTCTCTCTTAACATAGCTTTCAAGCCCCTTGCAGCTCCAGCTTTCATATCATTAAGTCCACTTAATTTCCATGTTAGAACATCAGGACTAATCTAACATTATGGGAAGTGTCTACAGGGCCTACAGCAGTCACATAACTCCAGAAATACAATGTGAGCATAGATTTAAGTCAAATATACGGGCCAGGAGCTTTAAAAATTAAACATATTTGACAGTTTTGATTTGGTTTTGAAAAAAGGGCAACTGAAAACAAATGTCTTGCCTTCCAGGACCAAAAGTTCACTGGGTAGTGAACTCTGTGACCGAAAAGCTTAATGTTAAAAGGCCACCATAGATCCACTTACAGAGTGGCCTGTCTTACATTGCTTGCTCCAGAGTCAACCACAAGCAGGTTTGGTCTTTCAGAAAAGCCCTACCCACTAGAAAAATCAGTATTTGACTCCTGGTTTCCAAACTATAGACATTGAGATACTATAATATCCAGAATCTCATTCCTGACACTGTCCATGGATTTTTTTGAGGGGGGGGAATAAGGGGTATAGTCTCATTTCTATGAAGGTATAGAATTACTGATAAACATTGAATGAAATATATTAGTAAGTTGTACTTTTCCAAGCAGACTACGTTCATATACTGGTCTTTAGACATTTAAATAAATAAAAAAGCAGTTCATAAGCTATAGCTTTAGAGGTGCTTTTACAATCTCTTTTTTAAAAAATAATGTAGTCATTGCTAAACTCAGAAAAAAAATAGGTTTGAGAAAACCATGTTATTCCAAAATACTGCCCCAATAAAATATATTACAAAGACACAATAATCAAAATAGAGTGGTATTAACATCAGCACAGACAGAAATTTTAATGGAATAAAATAGAAAATCTGAAAATAAACCCAGTTCCTACACGATAAAGCTAGCATTTCAAATAAGTGGGGAAATGACAGATTATCCAATAAAGGGTCTTGGAATAGCTGGTTAGCAAATTGGGGGAAAAAAACAAAATCAACTCTCTAACTCATATCTAATACCAAAATAAATCTCAAGTGGGTTAATATTTAAATTTTTTCATTAAATTATAACTGATGAAAGGAAAATATATATTTTTTATACAATCTTGAGACATAAAAGGCCTTTTAAAGCAGAGTACCAATGAATGATAACATAAAAGAAATGACTAACTAGAGCAAGAAATGTCACAAAATTAAAAAAAAAGTTAGAAAAATGCTTATGGTGTTTGTGACAAATAATTAATATCCTTAATATTAAAAAAGTCTTTCAAATCAATAAAGAATACCTCACTTTATAAAAGAGACTAAGACATGAGTAGGTAACTCACAACTTAGCTAAACCAAAGAATAAATCTATAACCTCCCTGATAATCAGAGAAATACAAATTATTGTGATTCCACTTTAAATAAACAAAGCTTAAAAATAACTACAAAATCCATCGTTGGCATAGAAAAATAATATTCAGATACAATGTGGGTAAGAGTCTAAATTGATTTCAATAAGTCAATGTGAATAAAAATCTTGTGAAAGTCCAACCCTGGACTAAGTATTTCTCTTCTAGGAATGTATTTGAAAGTATACCCATTTTCTATAGCGGCCCTAACAAATTACCACAAACTTGGTGGCTTCAAACAACAGAAGTTATTCTCTCACAGTTCTGGAGGCCAGAAATCCAGAATCAAGATGTCAGCAGGGCCACGTTCCCTCCAGAGGTTCTAGAGGAATTTCTGTTCCTCCCTCTTCCAGCTTCTGATGGTTGCCAGCAGGCTTGAGGCTGCATCACTCCAATCTCTGCCTCCGTCTTTGCAGCACCTTTTCCTCTTCCTTATCTACCTCTTCTCCCTCCATCTCTTTCTGATAAGGCTACCTATGATGGAATTTAGGGCCCATCTCAATATTCCAGGACTTAATCACATCTGCAAAGACCCTTTTTCCAAATAAGGTAACATTCACAGGCTCTAGGGATTTGACATAGATATCTCTTGGGGGATTGGGGTGGATTTTTTTCAGCCAACCACAGAAGGTAATCATTGCAATAATTGACTAAGGATGTCACTGCAACATGTGTAATTTAAAAAATTGAAAAACTAAGGGAATAATCTAAATGTTCAATAGAAGGGTATTAGTTAAACAAATGATGGCACATCCATCTAATGAATTAATATATAATCATTAAAAATAATGCTGATGCACATTGTTCCAGTTATCTATTGTTGGATTACAAAATCACCCAAATCTAGTGGCATATGGTAAAAATTATTGCAGGCAAGATCTACTGATTGATGCTGAAATTAGTAGGTGAAAGCTGGAGAAGAAACAGGATATTTGCATAGTCTTAAAGCATCTCCCCCAAGATATGTATTAATTGTAAAAGAAAAAAATAGTAATTTTACAGTGCAGAAAACCAGCAGACACCATCTTAACAAAGTGATCAAGGTGAAACATTACCAATAATAATATATAACAGCATTAGGTATACCAAGTGTGATTGACTGAGAAGGGCACATAACTTCCAGAGTATGCTTGCCAAAATTCATAACTTTCATCTAATCATGAGAAAACATCACATAAACCAAAACTGAAGGACATTTTACAAAATAGCTGACCAATACTCTCCCAAAGGGTCAACATCACGACAGACAAGGAAAGACTGAGGAACTATCACAGATTGGAGGAGATTAAGGAGACATGACAACGAAATGTAACATGGGATCTTGGATTGGATACTAGTAAATAAAAAGGACATTAGTGGGAAAACTGGTAAATTTTTAAGAAAGTCTATACTTTAATTAATGGTATTATACCAATGTTGATTTCTGAGTTTTGATCACTATGGTTATGTAAGATTAGGAGAAGCAGGGGGGAAGGGTATATGGAATTCTGTACTACTTATGCAAGTTTTCCATAAATTTAAAATTATTTCAAAATAAAAAGTAAAAAATAAAACTTAATGGCATACAACAAATATGCAGAAAATGTTCAACCTCACTAATCATTCAGGAAATACAAATTAACCACAATGAACTATCATCTCACTCCTGTCAGAATGGCTCTCACCAAAAACACAAAAGATAAATTGTTGGTGAGGATGTGGATTAAAGGAAACCCTTGCAATCTGTTGGTGGGAATGTAAATTACTACAGCCATTATGGAAAAGTGTATGGAGGATCCTCAAAAAACTAAAAATAGAATTACCATATGATCCAGAAATCCCACCTCTGGGCATTTACCCAAAAGCTTTGGAATTCGTTTGTCAACGAGATGTCTGCTCTCCCATGCTCACTGCAGCACTACTCACAATAGCCAAGTTATGGAATAACCTAAGTATCCACCAACAGATGAATGGATAAAGAAAATGTGTTGTATAGACACCATGGAGTACTTTTCAGTCTTTAAAAAGAAGGAAATTCTATCATTTGCAACAACATGAATAGAATTAGAGGACATTATGCCAAGCAAAATAAACCAGACACAAAAAGACAAATACTACATGTTCCCATTTATATGTGGAATCCAAAACAATTGTACTCATAGAAGCAGAGTGGAATGGTGGTTACCAGAAGCTGGAGGATGGGAAAATGAGAAAATAATGGCCAAAGGGTACAAAGTCTCAGTTAGACAGGAAGAATAAGGGTTTTTCTTTGAGATCTATTGCACGGTGTGGTGAATATCATCAATAAGGATGTATTGTACATTTCAAAATTGCTAAGAGGCTAAATTTCAAATGGTCTCACCATAAAAGATGTTAAGTATTTGAGGTGATGGATAGGCGAATTAGCTTGATTTAATTATTCTATATTGTATTCATAAATCATAATATCATTTTGTACCCCATAAATATAAATTGTCAATTTACAATAAAAATTTTTAAGTTAATGGCATAAAACAGTGAACACTTTATTATGCTCATGCTTCTGTGGGCCAGGAATTTGAGGGACACAGCAGGAACAATTTATCTCTGCTCCACTATGAATGGGGCCTCAGATGGCTGGGTAGCTCCCTTTGGCTGGAGATGCCTGGAGCAGGTCAGGGGGCCGTATGTCTAGTCTTGGTTATTCTCTGCATTGTGTTTAGTGGAGCTGAAATGTCCAAGCTTGCTCTTTTATTCAGTGTCTGCATTGAAACTGTTGAACAGTCAGTGTATCGGTTTCCTAGGGCTGCTATAACAATTTATCACAGGCTGGGTGGCTGAAAACAACGGAAATTTATTCTCTACAGTTCTACAAGATATCTGAAATCAAGAGATATCTGAAATCAAGGTGTCAGCAGAGCATTCCTTCCGAATGATTCCTTGGGTCTTCCTAGCTTCTTTTGGCTTACAGCAATCCTTGCATTCCTTGGCTTGTAGCTACATCCCTCTATCTTCACACAGCCTTCTTCCCTGTGGCTCTATGTCTCTTTGTGTCCTCTCCTCTTTTTTAAAGGCCCACCCTAATCCAATAGACTTCATCTTAACTAAGTCTCTGCAAAGACCCTGTTTCCAAATAAAGACACATTCCAATGTTCCAAGTGGACATGAATTTGAGAGAGACATTACCAAAATCACTGTAGCCAGGAACTGGCCACCATCATCTTCTCTCTGCATAGCCCCTTCATATGGCTTGCTTGGGTTTCTCACAGCATGGCAGCCTTGGGTAACCTGACCTCTTACATAATGGCTGGCTTTCCTCTGAGTGAGCATTCTAAGGGAAGCAGAAACTGCCTGTTTTCTTAAAGACAAGGCCTGGAAATGGCATAGTATCATTTTTGCTGTAATATATCAATCAAAGTTGTTCCAGGATAGCCAAGACTGAAATGGGAGGGAAACATGGACTCCATCTCTAAATGAGGAGGAGAATGAACACAAATAAAGGGAAGGAACTAATGGCAGCCGTTTGGAAACAAACTACCACACACATCTATTATTGACAGGTAAAGGTGCTCGTGAAATACAAATTAGTGGGGGAAAGGTTACAAAATACCATATACATATATAATTTGATCATATTTTTATTCTCAAAATATATACATGGATATTTGCATTAAACACATCTCAAAAGATAAAGAGTAAACTAAAATATTAATAGTGGTTATCTCTACAAGTTGAGAATTTAGCTGATAGTAATTTTTTTTGTTTAACCAATATTTTCTTATATAGATTATACATGTGTTACCTCCGTAACGAAACAGAAGATGCAAAAAGTAAATGATCTATGAATTTAATATAGGCCAGACTAGTATTTTTTGATGTTTCAACTAGAATATACAAAAATACAAAATGTTTCTAATCCCTAAAATTTTCACCATCATATAAATGGGTTAAAGGTTACATGACTCCATAATATTTCTGTTTTCAAAAAGGAAGATTCACAAATATACATACAAACAAAGGAGAAAGGCAGAAATAAATATGCAGAATTGGCTCATCTCAAAAATATAGGACTGTGAGAGACCAGGAAATAGGACAAATCGGTCATAGATTTTAACAAAAGGAGTTCCACAGGCTCATAAGCAGTTAGGGAATTGTATGCAGAAAGTGGGGTCTAAAGACACCTAAAAGAGACAAGGAAGTAAAGGCAATGACATACTTTTGTCTATTTCCCAGTTTGTCCCTGCCCTGTCCCCCTTACCATCAAGCAGACACAAACACTTAAAGACACCAAAACATACCTAAGCTCGGAGTAGTTTCATATAATCCTACCTAATGTGATCAATTATTTCCCTAAAGAACAGTCAAACTCACAAAGAACAGGACAGAAAAACTGGATTGGGAATTTTACTTTAATCCAAATATTCCATGACTCAGATAAAAACAAAGTTGAATGACATCTCCATCTACTCACCAACAGTTTCTTCAGAAACAGCAGTCAAAGATAAAAATTTTTTTGTATTTTCCATCTCCTCTTTACTTTGCCAAGCTTCACTATATTTTGCAGACTAATGAAAGGAAAATTAAAATTTAAACATGGGAAAAGAAGGCAACTATAATCATTGATTTTTTAAACTCCAACACGGCTCCCAATCACATACGTACAAACGAGAAGTCTCAGGCTATTTTTTTTTTTGAGGAAATCTGTAAATCTCCTCTGTTCTCACAAAATTCTGTCAATGGGTATTCCCAGATAGAGTCAGAGTATATGCCTATCATTATATGATAATTACTTTGCTTAAAGTATCATAAGTTTCTGCTTGATATTTTTATAATCTGTGAGTAACCTAAAGATACACCATAAAATTTAAAAATTTCAGACATTTCAACATTGTTACTATGTTTTATTATGTTTCCATTTATAATTCTTGCTTCAAAGGAAATAAAAACTTGCTTGAGATTCAGTAGGAAAAAGTGATAGGCTAACTTTTTCTGCTAAAATTTCCAGAAACGATTTCTCCAGTTTAAAGCATTGCATTTTGGATGTTTCTTTCTTTCCATCCCAGTGGACTTCCTGGGAACCTCATAAAAATGTATTTTTAATTACTACATTTTTAATTCACATTATTGCCTAGGAAACTTTCCCAGAAGTCAGTCAACTGTTCAAGGAGGACTTTATCAAAAATAACCAATCTCTTATGACAAGGTTCCTTACCTTAAAGGTGCTTTCCTTTGAGGGTCAAAATTGAAATATGAGCCAATGGCTATATACCAAGTCAATGCCAACATCTAGTCAACTTCAAGCCCTCAATATTATAGAGAATAAGAGGTCCAAGAAGGCCAAGGAAAGTTCATTGAGCACCAGGAATTTGTTGAGACAGAAGCAAATGAAGTATGGTCCCAGACCTCAAGCACTTCACAGCTTCCCAAAGATCTTGACCAGCACAGGAAACAGTCAACTCCCCAAAACTTGTTTGTCACAAAGGTTTACCCAAATAATAAAGCTAACCAGAGGGTTAAACTGTGTCTATTTATCTCCAAACTATAAGGCTGCTGAAGAAAAAGCAGATATACATACTTGATGAAAGCAGCTATTACACCCCTTCCTATTCCAGAGATGGAGGGGCCCAGCACTTTACCAGCCTGCTGCTGGTAAGAGACATGGTACCCTGGGCCTGTCCCTGGGGAGATGAACACGCCAGCGCAGTGCTTGAAATCTGAATGTTGCAGACCAAGTTTTCTTCTCAGGTTCCAGAAAAATATCACCCCATGACTCCTTCATATACACACATATACATACCACTGCCACTACCTCCACAAAATAAAGCAATCAAGGCAGGCCACAGTAACACCATGGTCCATGATTTTCTTACTCATCTTAGAGGAAATTCTTTCTTTTTTTTTTTTTTTTTTTTGAGTGTCTTGCTCTGTCAGCCAGGCTGGAGTGCAGTGACATGATCATAGCTACTGCATAGCATTGAACTCCTGGGCTCAAGGGATCCTCCCACCTCAGCCTCCCAAGTAGCTAGGGCAACAAGCACGTACTACCATGCCTGGCTAATTTTTTAGGTTTTTTTTGTACAGATGGGGTCTCTTTATGTTGTCCAGGCTGGTCTCAAACTCCTGGCCTCAAGCAATCCTCCTGCCTCAGCCTCCCTAAGTGCTGGGATTACAGGTGTGAGCCACCATGCCCAGCCAGGAGAATTTATTTCTTACATGTCAGCATAAGGTTAGATAATTCTTACCTTAATTTCTTCCCACAGCTTTATTCTCATTTCTAGACCTTGCTTCTTAATTTCTTTTTCTCTGCGTTGTTTCTTTGCCAATATTTTATCAAGTTTTTTCATCTTCTGAATAGCATCTTGAAGTTGAGAATCTAATTCTTTTAATTTGGGTTCATCTATATTGTGTTGAAAGTAAAAATAGGTTTGAAGTATAGTAAAACTATAAAGTTTTGTTTTGTTCTTACAATTTGTTCTTTCATTCAACAAATATTTATAGCTGATAGTAATAACTACTACATTGGTACCATGTATCTCAATTTACAAGGTGCTTTCACATGTGTTTGTCTATATAATTATCTAACAACCCTATGAAACAGACATTTATCTCTATTTTACAGTTGAGATAACTGGGTCCTTTCAAATATGTAACAAATTATAGCACTGGACTCAGAAGTGATCCTCGTGATTTTAAATCCCAAATTCTTTCTCCTTCATTCTGTTATACTTTCTATGTTCATGACTAAAAAATAGGAAATAAGGAATAAGACAAGAATCCTGTCCTAAAGCTGCTTCAGACTAACTGAAAGAGAAGGCGTGTACACAAATGGCTACAGTAGAAAGCCGTAAGTCTTCAGTGACACAAAGTGGTTGCAACATATAGAAAGAAAAAAACTCAAAACAAGTACTCTATGTAGCTTGTATCTTTTTTCTATGCTGCTTCTTTTGTTCTAATTTCTTAAAGTACAATTGATAGTCACTTATTTGAAATTAAGGACTCTTTAGAACTTCTGTCATTAACTTATGATTAACGATAATAATAACTAACATTTATAGAGTTACCTGATAGGCACAGTTTTAAGTGCTTTATTTTTAAACTTTATATCATTTAATGCTCATATTAACCCTCTGAGGTGGTATAATCACTGTTCTCATTTTACAAATTAGTAAACTGAAGCTAATTTTTAACTGAGTTACACGTATGTCCAAGGTCATATAACTGGTAAATGCCAGTCAGGTTCCACCCAAATCTGTCTGACTGCAGAGCCAAAGTTCTTAGCCTCTTAGCCACAGATAATATTCTCTCCATTTAAATCTGATGAAAGCTGATAATCCAGCAATGAATGAGCATGAATGCTCAAACAGTAAGTCTCAGCCACCCCAGATTAGATCATTAGAAGTGGCATATTGTGCTAAGTAAGGCCAAATTTATCAACTTTTGAAAACCCAAAGGGTTAAGTGATGTTTCTCTATAATGTGCATCACTTCTTCTTCTTCTTCTTTTTTTAAGAGACAGGATCTCATTCTGTCACTCAGGCTGAAGTGTGGTGGCATGATCATAGCTCACTGCAACCTCGAACGCCTGGGCTCAAGCAATCCTCCCACATCAGCTTCTGAACAGCCAGAGCCAGGACTACAGGTGCATGTCACCATACCTGGATAATTTTTTAAAAAAATTTTTGTAGAGATGGGGGTCTCACTATGGTGCCCAGGCTGGTTTTAAACTCCTGGGCTTAAGTGATACTCCTGCCTGGGCCTCCCAAATGCTGGGATTACAGGTGTGAGCTACTGCTCTCAATTCCATCATTTCCTCTTAGAGGAAAAAAAGAAAGAGGAAAGCAACTTATCCAAAAAGGATATTATTAATAAGGAGGTTCCTTGAATCTTATTGCTTATGTACTTCAAAAGCAACACCTTCTAGTTCTCATTCCCAACTGCCAATCCTAGCATTCTCAGGCTCCGTGAACATAGGTAGTCTATATAGCGGGCATTTTGAAGTAACTCATGCAGTACTAAAACAATATAAACAAATCCAATGTAAACTGTGTCAGCAGCTAATTTCAATTATAATATCTTTGAGACAGGAAGGGGACAGGGAAGTGCTGGGTAGAGAAAGGTAGAGTCCCTGGCGAGGGCTCCACCCTTGGGCCTGTGCCCATGGACCTAAGTGAGAACAGGCACTCCTATTTTCATGCCCAAATGTTGCATTTTCCAAGCCCAGTCTGGCCTGCCATGCCCCCATCCTGTGCCCATATAAACCCGAGACCTTAAGCGTACAAGACACAAGTGGCTGGACGTTGAGAGGAGCAGAGGAACACACCAGCAGACACTGGCAAACCAGTGACTACGGAACGATGCAGATGCGAAGGTGAGTTCAGCCAGAGGCAGTCAGAGGACAGTTCAGCCACTGGGCAGCCTGACTCCAGGGGAAGACCACCTTCCCACTCCATCCCCGTTCCAGCTCCCCATCCATCTCACTGAGAGCTACCTCTACCACTCAATAAAACCTTGCACTCATCCTCCAAGCCAACATGTGATTCGATTCTTCTGGTATACCAGGGCAAGAACCCAGGATACAGAAAGCCCTCTGCCCTTGTCATAAGGCAGAGGGTCTCATTGAGCTGATTAACACAAGCCGCCAGCAGACGGCAAAGCTGAAAGAGCACACTGGAACACTCCCACTTGGGATTTGGGAGTTGTAAACACTCACCCTTAGACACTGCCATGGGATCAGAGCCCAAAAGCACTCCCCATGGCCTCTGCACCTGCTCATCTGCCTGCCCCCTCTAGGGGTTTGAGCAGGGAAGCACTGAAGAAGTGAGCCGTACCCTTGTCACACGTCCTTCAAGGGCGATAAGGGAAATCTCCCATTCCACTTTGTTTCCTGAAAACCATAATCCTGAGTCACCTGACCTAACAGTGAGAGTTGATCTCATCCCAAACATACTCTAAATCACAGCTCTCAAACTTTTTCTCAGCTCCCCTTTACGGCCTTAAAAATAGTTTAACTTTTCTTATGTGAGTTATAGCTATTGATAATGAACATATTAGAAATCAACACTGAAAAGTAAATATTTACTTATTAATTCACTTTCAAAAATAAAAAACATGCTATTACTAATTATGTTAACATAAGTATCACATTTTATAACAAATAACTATATTCTCAAACAAATTAGTGAGAAGAGTGGTATTGTTTAAATTTGTAATATCTGGATGAAGGGAAGACAGGTGGATTCTCATATTCTCATAGGAAGACAGTCATCCTATTGTAATCTGTTGTTTTGGCTAAAGTATATGCAGAAAATTTGGCCTCACACAGACAAGTGGTTAAAACAGGAAGAAGAAACTTAATAGCCTATTCAGATAATTGGACAGTCTTCTTTGATACTACACCAAAACTTAACAGGGGTGGTTTCCTACAGGTTAACTGTTAAGTGAAACCTGTAATCAAATCAGTGAGCTTTATGTATTTGTTCCATTAAAATCCATGGATCTATATTTTACATTGAATGGATCTTTTATCCTACATTAATCATTTGGAAAAAAGTGGTTAACTAAATTATGCAGACCTTCAACCTCTTAACACATTTCATTACACAACGGCATCAGTTAATATTGCCACCAATTTTTATAAGAAAAGTCTAAGGGCCGGGCGCGGTGGCTCACGCCTGTAATCCCAGCACTTTGGGAGGCCGAGGCGGGCAGATCACGAGGTCAGGAGATCGAGACCATCCTGGCTAACACGGTGAAACCCCGTCTCTACTAAAAATACAAAAAATTAGCCGGGCGTGGTAGCGGGCGCCTGTAGTCCCAGCTACTCGGGAGGCTGAGGCAGGAGAATGGCGTGAACCCGGGAGGCAGAGCTTGCAGTGAGCCGAGATCGCGCCACTGCACTCCAGCCTGGGCGACAGAGCGAGACTCCGTCTCAAAAAAAAAAAAAAAAGAAAAGTCTAAGTACTGGAAAGCTATCAACCTCACAGTGACATATGCAGTTTTCCAAAACTGTAATTTTCACTTCAAAGCTCAAATTTTACCATTGGCAACAAATACTGTCAGTAGTTATCCTCGAAGTAACATGTTTATTTTCTTAAAAAGAAGTCTACCAGATACCCATCTGAATGAGAATTGTTTGTCAGTCATTCTTTCAAGTAAAAACGGTGTTCCATTATAAAAGTGGCCAGTTCAGCTCTCAACTCCAACCATCACAAAAGTACTTTTCTTCAACACAACCTCAAACTTCGGTACACAGCATAATTGCTTTATGTATACTTCCCATTTTTCCCCACAGGATGTTAAGAAGATGCATATTTAAGGGTCAAAATTTCATAAAATTGATAGTTTTTACTGATTCATAGCCAGTGACACTGGCTATGTCTTTTTCCTGCCAGTGCCTGGTTGCAAAGAATACAATGACTACTAGTACATTTTGGTGCCATTGTCCTGATTCATGATAAAGCACCAGCAATTTTGCCCACCATTCCTTTTATACCATCAGTGCAAATGTCAGTATGGTGGACACAAAGGCAAATAGCATCTCAGCATTACTATGAAAACAGCTTTTACCTTGCAGAGCCCCTGCAAGGGTCTCAGGGACACCATCTCCCACCATACCCCCAGGGCTCTGCAGACCACTTTTTGAGAAACACTATTCTAATTCAATCTGACTAGAATTAATTTACCAGCATAAAAAATGTCATCTTTGAAAATCCAAATGTTATTGGGTGGGACTATCCCTATAAATTAGAGCATATATTATATTGTACAATTTTAGTCATCAAAAAATCAATAAATTGCATCAAAAAATGCAGAAATACTCCCTACTTGATTAATGCACAATGACCACAATTTTATTAAATGACATATTTTGTTATATTTCTAATATATTTAAGGGCTCTTAATATTGTTATAAATAAAAAGTGATTGCTTGCTCACAAATAGTCTATGTCTTTTTTTTGGTTTATTATTTATATTTAGTTGATAAAAACACAGGTAATACTAACACCTTAAATATAACATTTGTAATAATCATTAACATTTGTAATTATCATTAGCCAATCACCTAGTGATTATCCTACCTGAACACTCAGAGATTATCTGATGTTGAACCAAATCCAGATCTTCATCTGATCCCTCTTCAGCCAATTTTATTTTCTCAGAGCAGCTTTCCTGCTTATCATCATTACTAGTTCTTCTGTTCTCTGTATTACTGCTTTCGGAGTGGTCCTCTTTACCAGAGTTCAAGTTGCTTGCAGTATCGACCTAAAAATAATTTCAAAAAAAAAACAGTTTCCGAAAATACTGTCTTTTTTTAAACTTTACATTTCTAGAATATTTTGACACTAATGGAAGCAGATGGAGAATGTACATAAATGCATACACTAGCATTAAAGTATTCTAGAAATATAACACTCTAATTAAATGTAATTTAACTACACAATTCCATGTAATAACATTTGCACCATTCTCCAGCAATCCCTAGCAATAATGGAGAAGAGTCTACATCAGTCCTGAAGGGAACTGCTATCTGCCGGGCTCTGGGATAAGGCAGACGGGCCTGCTCCTTGAGCTCACACTGGGATGGGCAGTCAAAGGTCTAATACGACAGCCACTTGCCACATGTGGCTACAGAATGGTTGAAAAGTGGATAGTCTGAGTTGAGATGTGCTTTCTAGGGAGAGTCTCCTAATCAGAACCCTGTGCTTTGGTCATTTATTTATTTCTATGTTATTCACAGTTTTTCTATTTCATTTTAGTTTCCCTTTATATTTTAGCAAAGTTCATTTTGAAAACACCAATTGACACAGCTGTGTTTTCCTAAGAGAGAACAGAAAAGGACCTCCATGGCCGGGTGAGGGAAAAGCAGGGATCATAGGCCCTGGGGTTTGTAAACTGTGATGAAAATCACTTCAGAAGTTAACACAGCCCAAGGGAGACAGGAAAGACCTTAAAGAGAGAGAGTCAGCCCTTTCTCAAAGAAGCACCTTTCCCCTCCCAACAGAGAGACTGTCTCCTCCAGCCCATCTGCTCTCAGCCCTCTGTAGGTTTTGTGTTTTCTCTGCACCACATGTTCAACTCTCCACCACAATCTGCAGTCCCCTCGTGAATCCCCAGGGTGGAAGATGGACAGTGCTGAGAATGAAACTGCCAGGAATGCAGGCCTGCGTGAGTATGTCCCTGCCTGAGCCAGGACATAAACCCAGCGGAACTGAGCTGACTCAGTGGTAATAATCATAGCCATCATTTATTGAAGAATTACTATCAGTCATGGCCTGCCTCATTCGCTTCCCACAATGACCCTATGGTGTAAGTTTCTCTACCATGAATTAACAGAGAAGAAAACAGACCTAGCAGAAAACGAAACTAGTGAAGGCCCAATTTATAAATAAGCAAAATAGTGTCTACTTTATGTAATCCAGGAGGTGGTTAAACAGGGTTCCCTGTTCAAAAACATATTTCTGCCAAATGCCAGAAAAAGTCTGTAATTCCACAATATCCAGTTAATCCTTAAGGCCTTCCGTCCTGTGAAAATGCTAACATTTCTGGGAGAAGTCACACAAGTTCTGCCTGTCATTTATATTGGTATAAAGCAACTTAGCAGACCTTCCTCTGCGGCTGGGTTTCACATGGGGGAATAAAGAATATACAAAACATAACTAGATGGATAGCACACTTCAGCGTACCCCAAGACCTTTCACATCCATCATCTCATATGATCCTAACTCAGAAAGAGCAGAAGGTAATGAGGTACAAAGGTGAAGCTGGAGAACTAGGCAAATTTCACAAATTTTCCCATAGTTTCCCACCCCACTAGCTACCAACTGTCTTCCCCAACCCATTGCCCACTGGCCTCTCTATTCCTAACCCCCTGCTCTTCTGCTCTGTGGCCTATATGCATGATTTTTCTCTCTTCCTCATTCTTAACATCACATCCCATCTCTGTATAAATATATATATACATTTGGACAGGGTCTCACTCTGTCACCAAGGCTGGAGTGCAGTGGCATGATCATGGCTCACTGCAGCCTCGACCTCCTGGGCTCAAGCGATCCTCCCACCTCAGCCTCCCTGACTAGCTGGAACCACAGGCGCATGCCACCACACCCAGCTAATTTTTGTATTTTTTAATAGAAATGGGATTTCACCATATTGCCTAGGCTGGTCTCAAACTCCTGGGCTCAAGCAACCCACCCTCCTTGGCCTCCCAAAGTGCTGAGATTACAGATGTGAGCCACCGTGCCCAGCCTATTTTTATTTTTTGAGGTGGTGTCTCACTCTGTCGCTCAGGCTGGAGTGCAGTGGTGCGATATCGGCTCACTGCAGCCTCCATCTCCCGGGTTCAAGCAATTCTTCTGCCTCAGCCTCCCGAGTAGCTGGGATTACAGGCACCCACCACCACACCCAGCTAATTTTTGTATTTTTAGTAGAGACGGGGTTTCACCATGTTGGCCAGGCTGGTCTCGAACTCCTGGGTTCAAGTGATCTGCCCACTTCGGCCTCCCACAGTGCTGGGGTTACAGGCGTGAGCCACCGTGCCCAGCCCCACCTCCATTTTTCATGGCTCCACTTCCCCCATTCCATACCTTTATCTTAATCACAGGAAACGCAAATACCTCATGAAACCCCTTACTAGTATTTAGATTCCTACTTGAAACCCATGGGATTTTTACACAAAATACAACTACTGGCTCTTTAAAAAAAAAATTAATAAGCAACAACAAGCCAAAATTTTTAGAATGAGAAATATATTATCACTAAATACATGTCACTAAAACACTAATATTTTAAGCTCATTTTCTGCTGTGAAAAAAATCTTTGGTAAGAATTTAATAAAAGACAAATCTGAGCAATAAAACTAACTAGCACACCAAGATTTATTAGTCAAACAATATGTAAGGTTTTCTAGATGCTGAATGATTTGCAATCAGCAGTCAGCATACAATATATTTGTAGCTTTCTTCCCCAATCTAAGGTGAACCTTACTGACTTTCTATGAACTTGATTAACACAAATCACAACTTTGAAAACTTTGCTTTCAATATAAGTGCCAAAGTCCAGATTGGCTAATAAATATTCTAGAGTTTAACCTGTAGCTTAGTAGGTTCAAATAAAATCTGAGTTTACGTGATCACTGATATTCTCCTTTTAATAAGTCTTGAATGAAGTAATATTAATCTGTGTATTAAAATATGTGTAAGTTATCAATATCATGAAGTTGCTGCTTAAAAAAATTGTCACCCAGAAATAAATAAGCAGGAATACTAATTCTATGCTACTCTAAAATTTGCAGCCTGGACAACATAGTGAGACCCCTGTCTCTACTTAAAATTTTTTAAAAAGGAAATCAGCCACATGTATTAACATGGATGAATCTCAAATGTATTAAGTATGCTAGGAGATAAAAGCCAGCGTGAAAAGCTACATACTGTATGATTCCATTTATACAAACTTCTGGAAAAGGAAAAAGAAGAGAGACAGGGAATAGATCAGTAATTGTAAGGGATTAAGGGTGACATGGGATTATCTGCAAAGGAATAGAATGAAAAAATGTTTTCAGGGATGATGGAACAAACTGCTCCATATCTTGATTGTAATGGTAGTTATATCACTCAATCTATCTTCCAAAACTCATAGAACTATACACCAAAAAAGTGAATTTTATTGTATGTGACTTTTTTTAACTAAAAATTAAAAGTTAATAGATCAACTGAGATACAATATTAATACATGACAAGATTTAATATCACAAAGTTAGAAATTCTCCCCAAATTAATCTGTAAAGTCAAAGCAATTTCAATCAAAACCCCAACCGGATTTTTCAGAACTTAAAAAACTGATCTAAAGCACATATAGGCCAGACGCAGTGGCTCATGCCTGTAATCCCAGCACTTTGGGAGGCCAAGGCATGTGGATCGCCTGAGGTCAGGAGTTCAAGACTAGCCTGGCCAATATGGTGAAACCCCATATCTACTAAAAATAGAAAAATTAGGTGTGCCTATTGGTGTGTGCCTGTAGCCCCGGCTATTCGGGAGGCTGACAGGAGAATCACTTGAACCCAGGAGGCAGAGGTTGTAGTGAGCCAAGATCACACCATTGCATTCCAGCCTGGGCAAAAGAGCAAGACTCAAAAAAAAAAAAAAATACATACAGAGGAGCAAAAAGCCAAGGATAGTTAAGACAGTCCTGAAAACAAACAATATGGAAGAGCCACTATCAGATATCAGTAATTATTACAAAGCTGTAAGAGTTAACACACCATATAGTAATGATGCAGGACTAGATGAAACAAAACTATATTTTGTACAAAGTCACTTATAGCTAGGGTTCTGGACGTACGTTAGGATAATCCAATTAGATGAACCTGCACAAGATTTAGAAAGCAGATGTGAGGTAGAAGCATCGTCCTAAGTTCCTGATAGGAAGCTGGCAGAAAAATATCAAAGGCAGCCATCTCTGCATGTCTAGTCACCAGCTTTGTGGTTCTGAGGGACTTGTGGCAGTGGCGGAAGCAGCAGCAGCAACTTTCTGATCTCTGGATTACAGCTCTGGTGGCGTGACCTGAGAACCCATAATCCAGGTATAGCCCCTCCCTGAACTCCCTTTCTTGCTGGTCACCTGTTGATTTTGAGGTCTTCTGTTGATTTTGAGGAACTAAACTCTTTTTTGCAGTGGGGGAGGTGGAGGGGGAACACAGTTTCACTCTGTCACCCAAGCTGCAGTGCAGTGGCACAATCACAACTCATTGCAGCCTTGAACTCCTGAAATCAAGCTATCCTCTTGCCTCAGCCTCCCAAGTAGCTGGGACTACAGGCATGTGCCACCATGTCCTGCTAATTTTTTTAATTTTTTGTAGACTCAGGGTCTCACAATGTTGCCCAGGCTTTAACTCTTGTATTCAATCCCCTTCTGCTTGAAATACATAGAATGCTATTCCTGAACCACATCATGACAGACAGAATTCTAAGAGTTCCATAATGCAGAATCTAGTCTACAAACAAAAAAAAAATGAGTATGAATTCATTAACTTGCCAAAATTTTTCATTATAATGTTCAATTATTCATTTCCTAAAACCTTAAAAGAAATAAATGAGAAAACTAATGCTTTAAGTAAAAAAATCAAGTCTAGAAGTCTAGATATTTTAAGGAAAAAAAAGGGACTGCTGAAGAAAAAAAAAATAAGGTCACAGCCAGATAATATCTGATATGTTTTGACTCTGTGTCCCCACCCAAATCTCATGTCGAATTGTAATTCCCAGTGTCGGAGGAGGGGCCTGGTGGTAGGTGACTGAATCATTGCTGTTCTTCTGACAGTGTTCTCATGAAATTTGGTTGTTTGAAAGTGTGTAGCACCTCCTCCTTCACTCTCTCTCTCTCCTGCTCCAACCATGTAGGATGTGCCAGCTTCCCCTTCACCTTCCGCCATGATTCTAAGTTTCCTGATGCCTCCCCAGCCATGCTTCCTGTACAGCCTGTGGAACCATGCAAACCTCTTTTCTTTATAAATTACCCAGTCTCAGGTAGTTCTTTTATAGCAATGTGAGAAAGGACTAATACAATATACCTACCCAATATACATCACATGGCCTTTACCAAACGGTTTTTTTAAAATACTGAATCTTTTTGAGTAAGTGTTTTTAGTAAAAGTCAGTGGTGGTATATTAGATGTTGGAATACAAAACTTCCTTATAAAGAAAAAAAGAGTCGATACACAAGTTTTAACAAAGTACAGTGCAGAGAAATAAACCACACTCCAAAAAAAGAAAGGAAAAAAAGGAAGGTGGGAGGGAGGGAGGGGAGGAGCAGAGGGAGGGGAGGAGCAGAGGGAGGGGAGGGGCGGAGGGAGGAGAGAGAGGGAGGGAGGGAGGGAGGGAAGGAATGGAGTAGAGTTTTTTCATATTAATCTAGATTAAAATCCAAGAAATCTGCAAGTGCTCCCCAAACACACCGTCTAAGGAGAAAATTTAAAATGGGATGTTAACAACAACCTTAGTTTCATCAACTGCTGAGAGGTTGGGGAAAGGAGTTTAAATCTTTTCTAAACGTAAATTACCTTGAAGGATCCTGGTTCTGTTGAGAGCACCTCCAAAGAAGCATTTGAACTTCTGCTCCCAGGGCGTATTCTTGAATTTGAAGCTGGTTTTGAAATTCCATCTAGGTTTCCCTTTATAATATCCATTGAAATCCTGAAACAACAAATAAAATATTTAATACCAAGCGACTCGGATATTTAAATCTTTCATTAGTTAGTATTAATATCCAATTACTCAGAGGCTTTGTTTTAAAGATTATGTTGCTACTGAAGTCACACTTAAGGGTTCCCCAGCTTCACCAAAAGACATCTTGTGTACATGGATTGTTCAATCTTATGCCACAGTATGCATAAAATATACTGCCCAGGATGTTAGATACTGAATATGGCTAGAAGAGAACACAGAAGTGAATGCCATCTTGGTTGCTTCCTGGGCCTCCAGGAAAAAACATTTACATGTCCCTGGTCTTCCCCGAGGGAACACTCAGGGGCACCCGTCTCTCAAGCAAGATCCACTTCATCTTAATGATTTGCTAAGGCCCTCCTGCTACTTTCTCTTTTTTTTTGAAAATGAGTCTCACTCTGTCACCCAGGCTGGAGTGCAGTGTCGCGATCTTGGCTCCCTGCAACCTCTGCCTCCCAGGTTCAAGCAATTCTCCCTGCCTCAGCCTCCCAAGTAGCTGGGATTACAGGAGCCCGCCACCACGCCCAGCTAATTATAGTATTTTTTTTTTTTAGTAGAGACGGGGTTTCGCCATGTTGGCCAGGTTGGTGTCAAACTCCTGACCTCAGGTGATCCGCCCACCTCGGTCTCCCAAAGTCCCCCTGCTACTTTCTTTCGGTTTTGCCTTCTTTTTTCTAGCCTTGTCCACTCTAGTTCAGCCTTCTTCCCTCTCAGCTCTGATTTCTCCTCTCCCCCGTGGGGCTGCATTTTCATGGAGTACCTATCTCCAGGCACTGCTCTCATTTTATCAACCCTCCCCTTCTAAAACCCATAATTCTATTTCTGCCCTCTGAAGCAAGAGAACAAAACCTACTTCCTTTATTAAAGGACAGATTTTCATTATCTGGCTACACATTACCAATCTATTTAACTATTCTTCATGTGATATATCCACAGGCTTCTCACCACCCTGGCTGCTCTATAACTAGTGCTATTTCCGGAAGCAAGAAATACTAGGCAGGGTGGCATAAGCTACAGAGACACAGTGAGCGATGCAGGCACATTGATCCTTCCAAACTGTGTGGCTGACTAAGACCATTCCAGATCTGTCCTGTGACACTGGGGCAACACGCATGCTGAGTCAAATGGAAGAAAGAGGGTAATTCCAGCTTTTGCCCTCTCATACTCGGATTTACATGTGAATGGGTGTCTTCCAACAAATCCTTTCCTAAATTCCTATCAATTATACATTCAACCATAACAGAATGAAAAAGGCAATTGCCTCTACCCAACAATGTCCTTTTCTTACCCTACAAAATGACTCATCTTTCTTTTGCTTTTTTGAACAGCAGAGGCAGGGTCCAGAGAAGCTGTGGACACAGGAGAAAGCACAAATATAAACAACCTGAGGCTTCACCTAGGTACACAGAGCGATGTTACGGCTTGGCTTCCAACCATTCAAGGTGCCAAAGCTTATGTTTAAGAGATCAGGAGGTCAGCTCTTCCCATCTCAGCAGATGAAAAAAGCATTGATCTCAACATTATTCAAACTCTGCAAAAGAGTTTGGGCTCACTCAGGAAAGCACTGACATTATTATTGTGGGATGATGGATCACCCTGGCCCCTCACATCAAAACCAAAAAGCATAAGTCACCAAAAGGCCAAATGTCTTGTAAACGCCCTAAGCAGCCTGTCAAGGGAGACTTATTACAGCTTGCAGAGGGAGCAATGAGATGGAAGCATGCGCAGAACCGCATAATACATGTCAATAAAGGCACAGGCACAGGCAACCAACAATGACCTGGATCAGCTAAAGAGCTCCACAAATCTTTCATTTTGCTCTAGAAATAGGTCTGTTCTATTAGGTTCACTCCTGAAAATAATAAATTAAATAAAATGCAGTTCCTGAGGTAGGTGGGGACTCAATAACAGACTATCTTATGAATTTGGCCATCTAGAAAAAGGTATTGGTAAAGGGTATTAAAATTGGATCTTATAGATGTATTTAAGCATTTGAGAAGAAATTGCAACTGCCACAAAGAAATTCCACAAGAAAAATAAAGCATTGTACAAGAAAAAAGCAATCAATATGTAAATAGTTATAATTACGTAAGCATTGAATGTTGATTTAACCAAATATTATGCCTTAATTATATTGAGTGTTCGTGAGGAGTGCACAAAAGGAAGCGAGTAGTATCAGAAATGTAATCTGTTACCACAGGAAATCAAAGAGACTGTCCAGAAATTGATAAAGCCAAACAACAGTTAAACATAATACTTTAATAAAAGTAAAAACTAATTTTATAAGTAATAAAAAATATGAAATCTCTAACAGACTGGAAGGAACATAAAGATAAATTTATAAACATAAATGTAAAGATAAATTTCATAATTATGGAATTAATGACTTAGTAAGCGTGATACTAAGAATATAAATCAAAAAGGAAAAGACTAACAGATGTGGCTACGTAATAGTTAATGCTCTTGAATCTCAAACATGAAAAAGAACTCTAAGTGAAATTAAAAGGAACCTGAGAAACTGGGGAAATAAATGCAACAAAGATGATATACAAAAGGTTAATATATTCACATATTTATAGAGCTCTTACCAATCAGTAAGAAAAGAAAATTCTAATAGAAAACTGGGTAAAGATTTTAAACAGAAATGCACATATCAAAAAAAATAGAGAAAGACATACAAGTTGCCAATAATCCTGCTTTAAAAAGTCCAACTTCTCTTATTAAAGGAATATACACAAAGGGACCTGAAAGATGATGACACATCAAGGAAGTAAGAGTAGTGGGTTCTGGATTGGTGGGTTTCTGGATGTTCTTGTCCCCTTGCTTATCTGTATTTTCTGTTTTTCTATTAACTATATCTTGTATTTATAACTAAAGAATTCATTTATTATAGAAAGATCTCTAGAATGTACTAAAAGGTATTTGAAAAGAAATAAAAATCACCCAACATCCCACCACCCTGAGCTATACGCTATTGGTACATCTTTCCCATTTTTGCTCTGTCTTTTTCAACAAAATTGGACTAATGTGTTTTTCACCAGTACATAATGAGCATTTTCTTATGACATTAAAACACTTCAAAATAGAATCATATTTACTTCATGATACTTGATTAAATAGATTAGATATATGACCAGATTCTAAACTGTAACAAGTGCCAACTTATATAACATTCATTTCAAACAAGATTAAAGTTTTTCATAGAGGCTTCTGAGAAATGCAATCAACATAGATGATTTAAAGCCAAAATGGGGACATATGGCTGCTATAATTTGGTATTTTGAGGTGAATAAAAGAATCAAAAGAAAATGAATCCTCCTCTGTTTAGTCATTATGAGTAGCAAGACTTTAAAAAGTGGGACTGATTTAGTTTCATTATTTTTATGTCTAAAAATTATTTATGTATGGTCAGTTTTTTTACTTTATATATTTGTGTATCTGTAAGGAATACTTGCCCATGCAGAAAAAACATCAAATAATACAGGTGAATATCAAAATGTTTTAAGTCAAAATTCGGCTTATCCCAAGAATTAGTGTTAATAGAGACTTGCAGGTCTCATTTTTTTAGGCATATGCAAACCTTCTATCTTTTATACCCATCGACTCCTCCCCAACGCAGACACACATACAAATGGCATGGTGCTTTGCAACTTGCTTTTTCACAATTAACAATCAATTTTGGCCAGGCGCGGTGGCTCACGCCTGTAATCCCAGCACTTTGGGAGGCCGAGGCGGGCAGATCACGAGGTCAGGAGGATCAAGAACACCCTGGCTAACACGGTGAAACCCCGTCTCTACTAAAAATACAAAAAAATTAGCCGGGAGTGGTGATGGGCGCCTGTAGTCCCAGCTACTCGGGAGGCTAAGGCAGGAGAATGGCCTGAACCCGGGAGGCGGAGCTTGCAGTGAGCCGAGATTGCACCACTCCGGCCTGGGCAACAGAGCGAGACTCCGTGTCAAAAAAAGAAAAAAAAATTTATTTTATCTATTTTTCTATATCACCATTTATAGATATACGTCATGCTTTCAAACAACAGCATAATATCCCATAGATGCAGCACTTTTTTCATCAGTTCACTTAGGTGGTATATAGAATATTTGCTATTAAAAGCAATTCTAAAACTTGCTCAAAATGTATCACAGACCTAAAGTAAAACTTCACACTATAAAATTTTCTTTTTGTCGTTGTTATTGTTATTGTATTTGTAGTAAAGACAGGTTTCACTATGTTGGCCAGGCTGGTCTCGAACCCCTGACCTCAAGTGATCTGCCTGCCTCAGCCTGTCAAAGTGCTGGGATTACAGGGGTGAGCCACCGTGCCTGGCCAAAACTATAAAATTTCTAAAAAATACATGTGACTGTGGGTTAGGCAAAAATTTCTTAGATACAACATCAAAGGCATGATTCATAAAAGAAAATATGGATAAATTGGAAGGCATCAAAATTTAAAACTTGTAGTCTTCAAAAGATGTTAAGACAAGGAAAACAAAACCCAAAGACTAGGAGCAAATATTTGCAAAACACATATCTGACAAAGGACTCATATCCAGAATATATAAACAAGTATCAAGACTCAATAACAAGAAAACAAAGGATTTGGACACACACATCACCCCAGATGATGTACGGATGGCAAAAGAGCACATGAAAAGATGTTCAACATCATTACCCCTCAAAAAAATAAAATAAAAATCACAATGAGATACCACTACACACCTATTCAAATGACAAAAATTAATTTTTTAGAAAACTGACAATACCAAGTGCTGACAAAGTTGGAGAGCAACTGTAACACTCATATTGCCAATGACAATGCAAAATCATCACTTTTCAAAACTGCTTAGCAGTTTCTTATAAAGTTAAACATATATTTACCATATGACTCCACAATCTCATTCATATTTACCCAAGAAATGAAAACATATTCACACACACAAAAAAAAACCTGTACATGAATATTTATACCAGCTTCATCAATAATAGCCAACAACTGGAAAGAACTCATCCAAATATGCCTCAAGTAGGAAATGGATAAATATACTACCGTAGATCCATACAATGGACTATTACTCAGCAACATAAAGGAACAACTGATACACAGAACATGAATGAATAGCAACTGCATGATGCTAAGCTGAAAGAAGCCTGATTCAAAAGGCCACAGGGTGTTTGCTTCCATCAATATGACATTCTGGAATAGGCAAAATTACAGGAACAAAAAACTAGGAAGTTGTTGCCAGGGATGGCGTTAGGGGAGGGATTAAATACAAAGAGCACTAGGGAATTTGGGGTTCATGATGAAACTTCCGTATGCTGATTGTGGTGGTTGGTAATTACATAACTGTATACATTTGTCAAAACTCACAGAACTGTAGATTAAATGGGTGAGGCTTACCATAAGTAAGTTATACCTCAATTTTAAGTTAATATATTTGTGCCAATCTTTCTTTAGTTATGCTCATACATCCATAAAATATATTAGAATTGCTGAGTCAAAGAACACTTATGTTTCAAATTTTGGTAGTTCGCCAAATTGTACTCCAAAAAGGCTGCACCAAATTACACTACTTCCCCTACACTGGGCTGGGGCCCATCTGGTTATGTCAAAGCTGTTTCATCTTCTCCAGTCTCATAGGTGTAAAAGGTATCTGTGAATTTGGTTTACATTTCTTCACGAGAAAAGTTGAGTCTCTAATCAATTGTTTGCTGTTTGCATCTTTTTATTTTTCCTGTGAAATGCCTATTTGCATCCTTTGCCGTTTACGGTCTAGTTTAAATGGCTGGTGATCAGTTCTAGATCTTGGTGGGAAGATCCAAATCTCGGGAAAGTAGAAGCCTTGGTTACAGGTCCTAATGTTAGGTGATTCCTGGAGAAATAGCCTCCGCGGAGGCAGAAGCCGCTGGGGCCCCGCCCCCAATGAGCCCGCCCCCGCCCTCTCATTGGCCCTGTCCGCTCTCCCTGACAGTCCATCTACATGCCAAGCGGCCCGACGCAGCTCCGCCCCGCCCACTCCTCGGCGCACCGCCCCGCGACCGAGCTCCGCCCTCATCTGCGCGGCCCCTCACCTTCCCGCCGGGCCTCCTCGAGGAACTGGCCGCCGTCAGTCAGGGCGCAGATGGCCGCAGAAGCGCGCCGCAGACACTCGCCGCGCCAGCCACTTACCCCCAGAGGAGAGGGGTCTCTCCCGCCACCTCAGCCTCTCTGGTAGTGGAAGAAGCCGCCGGTCCAGATCCCTCCTGCCTGTGGGACCGCTGTTTCCCTGGCAACCAGATGCGCGATGCTTCCGGTCTCGCGATAGCGGAAAGGGCTGTACCATCCGGAAATGGGACCGGGGCCGGCGGCTGTTGGAGCCCTGCGAGCTGGGACGGCCGGCGTGTGTCCTTCCGTCTTCGCTGCCGACGGTGGGGGTTGGGAGCGATTTTTCGTCTTTAGGTTGGATTCGGAACGCGGACGTCTGGATGCTTGTGTATCTCTGTCCCTCATATTGCTGTGATGCCTTACAGGTCAGTTATCCTCTCCGAGCACAGTTTCCTCCTCCGTAAAATGGGAACAATAATAATTCCCTTCTTACAAGACTTGTGCAGCTCAAAAAGACCATGTATGTGAAGCTCTAGTAAATTTGGGGTGCTATGGAAATTTTAAAAATATGAGTTTTGCACAGATTCGGCTACAGTCCAAAAAGAGTTATAATTGCTTTTTGCACCTTCTTTCATTTCGTAGTTTCTCTAATTCTCAGTGCACGAAAATTATTTCCCTACGTCCACAAACTGATTTTCCTCACCTCCATTGCCATCATTTCTCCTGCTTTCCAGTCTGAACAGCACATTACCGTTTACAGGGCATTTTCACATTCATGGCCCCTTTGTCCTCATTGTTTTAACTAGGTACGATGTGGTTTTTTTTCAGCGAAGCAAATAGTCGTAGGCTGAGTTGCCGAAAGAACACAGCTGCAGTCTAGGCGAGTGCTGGGTATAAAAACCTGGCTATAAATGCCATCCCTATGCTCCTGAATCCTGCATCTTATCACCAGCCCAGACTTCCCTGAACTCCAGACTCCTTTACCTAACTGCCTATTTGGCATATCCACTTAGATGTGTAAGCATCTCAAACTTAACACGGGAAAAAACAACTTCTCCAGAGTCCCCCACCCACTTTCTATCCATCTCAGCAAATGGTAATTTCAGCCTGCCATGCCTAGACCAAAAACCTTGGAGTCATCCTCAATTCTTCTTCCTCTCTCACTCTACAATCTATTTGTCCTATCAGCTCAACATTCAAAATATATTCAGAATCCAAACATTCGTCACAACTTCAGTGCTTCCATTCAGGTTCATACTGACATCATCTCTAAATGATAAGGCTTTCTGTTGGCTCTCTGACCTCCACTCCTACCTACTGCTTTCCCCTGGTAAACCTGGTTCCAGCCTCACTGTCCTCATTGTTAGTGTTTCTGTGCAGGGATTTCTTCCCAGCATTTCTCAGGGAATTTATGTGGCTTTCCAAATCTCAAAAGAAAAAAAGTTGCAAACTGAAGAAAATGGGAGAAAGTATCCTAATCCTCCTATGAGAATTAAAACTTAGCAGCCGACCTAGAGATGTTACTGAAGAAATTCACCAATGTCAAGTTGAAAACCAGCACAGGAAATGCTGAGTTCGAGGTTGAGGTGAACATTTTCAGGAACCAGGTCAGGAGCACTTGGGAGAGACATGGCCACAATCTCATCAGTCAGTCTTGTTTGTAGTTGGTGCCATGAAAGCCTATGTTCCTGGCCCTGTGTGCCGCTGGCAGTGAGTCATTCTTGCAAATAAAATATAAATAGGTTGATACTCATTGTATACTTTATACAAATTCTATGAGCAGTGTTCAAAAAAGTAACGGGTTTTGGATTCAAAGTAAATCCTTAAATTGACAGTTTCCAACCCATGATTCTGGGTAGTACAGTTAACCCTGCTAGGAGATCTATTATTTGAATACTCCTCAATAATGTTCTCTGTGTTTTCCAGCATTTGAATATTTGCTATAAACCCCACTTCTTGTAAACACTTCTAAATTTAATAGTTCTCATTTTTTAAACAAAGGCTTCAGATACTTGTAATAATGAGTAAAGAATATGAAGAAGGTAGAGAATATTTTAAGAATAAGATTTTGAGAACAGCTGGTAATTCTGATTTCCTGTTTCTGCATCCCAAAGATCAGTATCTGTCAGGAATTTGGAAACACTTGTTGTTCCTCCAGTCCAAATACACACACACACACACCAGCCTGAAATACAGTTTCCCAGCTATCCACCTGGTTTGCTCCTCTCTTTCCTCAGGCGTCCGCTTCCTCAGGAGGGCCTTTCCCAACCACCCTGTATAAAATAATTATCCCCATCTCCACACTCCCTACCCTCTGTCCCCTCAACCCTGCTTTATTTTTTTATGAAGAAGAGAGATGACATTATTTGGATTTTGATATTAAACAGCTAGGTTATCTTAGGTAAATACATAAGCTTTTGTGGGCCACAGTTTCTTCATTTGAAAAATGAAGTTGGACTAGTTTTGCAGTGCTTAACTGCACAGAGCATTAGAATCACCTGGGGAGACTTCATAAACTACACAACCAGGGGTGTACCTGAGATCAAATGAATCTAGGCCTTCTCAACTTTAATGTGCAGACAAATCACCGAGGAATCTTGTTAAAAATGCTGATTCAAAAAAAAAAATGTTGATTCAGTATCAGGTGAGACCTGAGACTAACAGGCTCCTAGATGATGCCAATGCTCCCCGTCCACCGACCGCTGTTTACCTAGCGGCAAGACGAGATCATTGCCAAGTGCCTGCACGGTTCTCATACACCATAAACGAAGGCCATTCTTTCCAGTTTTTAATTTGGTGACTAATAGTGTCCACTAAGAAAACAATACCTTCCCAATTTCTCGGGGGGGGAAGGGGCTGAACTAAGAAAAAGCGGACCTATGATTACTGCTGTTTTCATTTTTTTAACTGTTGTTTTTAAAATGCAACATAAGATGCATATAAAGCAAGTGAAAATAAAATTCGGGTTCCACGTAAACTTTGTGTCTCTTCACTGTTTGTAACCTTTCCAGACTAAGTCCCTATTGACTATATTTGCATAAAACTATTTATCTCATTTTGAATTGTTTTGTCTCTGTGTCACTCTCACGTGTTTATTTACCTCCTGCTGCTTCCATTTTGTAAACTGCCGAGAGGCTGTGTGTGCCTTAAGGGCCAGCTTTAATAAATTGCATTTGTTGTGTATTTGTTTTTAATTTCCCCAGATACTTCTGTGTCAGCTATTGCAGGTGACACCCTCAAAACAGCACGGGGATATAAGTCCGAGAGCACCAAATGTCTATACTGTGTTTTCTGCAGTTCCATTTTCAAAAATCGCAAACACATCCTGGAAAGTGTTGTGCCCTTCAAAGTCATTCATAAAAATTTCTTCTAGAGTCAAGATATTTGAAGCTAAAATTTCCCTGGTCTCATTCCAGGTTGGTGACATATGGCAGTGGCAGTGTTAGTTTCGGAGTTAGCTTTTGTTTTTGTTTGCAGTCTCTCCCTACTCTTGACATCCTCCTTCCGAGTGGAGTCAGATTTGAATGAATGAAAGCGAGCAAGAGCATTGTTTGCCATCTGGGCACCAACTACCATTTCAGCCTTGTTGCCCCGGTTGCCCTTTCCTCACCATAAACTTCAACCGAATGTAACAATATGGTAGGAGAGGGATCTCATTAAGCCTCATATCGTAGATTCTACACACTGGATTTTGTGTATAATAGCCATTCCTACTGGAGAGCAGATAATAGTGTTTACCACTGGATAGTTCCCATGTCCTGTGAATCTATGCTTAGTGTTATTGAAAAACTGCATTTACAAAGTGTTTCAGACTTGCCTTCCAAGCATCATTTCACTTCATTCATAACATTCTATGAGTCGGCACTAGTATTACCTGGATTTAGAGTTGAGAAGCAGAGCACCTAAAGGGTAAGTAATTGTCCCAAGGTCGTTGGGGAACTAACTGGCACCGGGATTCCAACCTAGGTTCCAAAGCCTGCCCTCCATCTCCTCAGGGGTCCGAATTCTAGAAGAGGAGATATTTGTGTCCACTAGATGGTGCTGATTGTCCTCTTAAAAAAAAAAATTGGCAGCCACTTTCAGAAACACGTTCCTTTGGATTTTAGGTGTAATTCAAGAAACCACTGAACTGAAGTATCTTGTATGTCTGAATTGTGCCTGGATGCATCTTTAAATAGCCACCCAAATAGGAAAAGTGAAAATTTGATCTCAAAAAAACTGCATTTTTTAAAATGTTAGTACCTATAAATAATATCAAAAAACCATGGTGACTTTGAGACTCTGAAAATTCTCATACATCTGTATTTACATTAAATCAGTAGACTTAAGAAGAAATACATGTTTTATTCCATGTACCCCTTTTATACCAACTGTACTCCCTCCAGCATCTCCCAATCCTGCTTGGCCACAATGCCATCCATGCCAGCAAGGGTCATGAACAGGGAAGTAAATAAAGCCTGAAAAAAACAACAATCAGATTCTGGAACAGGTAACACTTTTTTCTTTTTCTTTTTTTTTTTTTTTTTTGAGATAAAGTCATGCTCTTTCACCCAGGCTGGAGTGCAGTAGCACAATGATCATGGCTCACTGCAGCCTCAACTTCCCAGGTTCAAGCAACCTCCCACCTCAGCCTCATGAGTAGCTGGGACTACAGGCATGCAACACCATGCCCGGTTGAATTTTTTTTTTTTTTTTTGTAGAGGTGAGGTCTCCCTATGTTGCCCAGGCTTAATGCTATTATTATTGAAAGTAAAATACATGTTAAGTATATGTTTCATATGTGCTTAGTACCTTATTTTAGTACATTTTTTAGAACTTAAAAGCTGTGAAATAAACCCGATTCAAATGGGTTGTCAGATTTTGTTGTTGAGAAGGATCAGTTCAGGTGTTATTTAAAATATTGATTCTAGTCCCTATTACATGATTCAGTGGGTCTGGAATGCAGACCAGGAATCTGCATTTTTAACAAGTCCCTTGGTGCTTGTGGTACAGATGAACCACTGACTTCAAGTTAATGTTTTAGAGGGTAAATAGTGGTGAGGACATTGCTCCTGGAGGCACCATGGAGCCCCCTGCAGCTGTTCTACACGGAGGCTGTGAACAGTGACATCCAGCACTTCCTTTGTAAACAGCAGGCTAGAGACTGAAAAATGCTCTCCCTGTAGAACTCTTTCCCTCCTCTCCCTGTCTGCTGTGGAGTGCTGCACAGAATTAGCTGCTGGTCAGTGGATGTCTCCATTTTTTAAAAGATCAAGCTTACAACTTCTCAATGCCTATTGGTCCAAAAACAGTGATGACTTTAGGTTTGTTTTCAGTTAAAGAAGTTAGATCATGTATTGTCATATAACTATTCAACTGGCTCGAGCGATCCGAATGTCAACCTAGGGGGCCACAAACTTCCAGGACATTGTGAAATTGTGTAAAAATCAGTGCACACATACACACACACACACACACATAGCAGTGCAGCTACATGTTTCTGGCCTAGAGGGTTGTTTTTAAAGATAGTAAAGTAAATCAATGAAAACGAAGGTATGTTATAATATCCAGAGTCATTTGCAGGGGGAAGGTGTCATGTCAAGTGGGCCCTAAAGCAATCAGCTCTGCCAAGTGAGTCATTCTCACCAGAAAGGAGAAAAAAATCGGTTTCTCTTCTTTTCTAAGGAAATTCCCTCAAAGTAACAGACTGCTTAACTTTCTCATGATCTTACTGGCTACAAAGTTTGGTCACCCGCAGCAACTCTGTACCTGTAAAGATTTAAAGAGTTGGCAGAAACTTCCCAAGGCCAGCTGCAGTTTCAGTTGCTGGATGCCCACTGAGATTAGTGTCTCGCCCCTGTCAGCTGAATGGATGTGACACTGCTTGCGCATAATGGCTGAAATTGCACTGCAACTATCAATCCTGGGCTGAAACCAACAGATTCTGAACATTGCCCATGCATTGGGTTTCATGCTTCATGCTTTCAACCTACAGGTAAGCTTGTCTCTGAGTCCAAAACCTAACTTCAGTATTGAGCTTGGTCTCTCTGATCCCATAGGGGTTTGTTAGTTTGTTGTTTTAAATTGGATCTCCTGATCTGTGTACTTGGTTGAGGTAAGCAGGTCTATGCAAACCTACCCCCAAAGGCCAAGGAAGCTGAGAGGCCAATGAAAGAAGCTGACAAGTCCAGTTTCTCAGAAAGAAACATTCAATAAGGGCTTACAAACAGAAGCCATGTCTCTGGCGGCCAGAGAGACAGTGGATCCCCGCAACTGCCCTCCAGAAAGCATCTTTTATATAGCAAGATTTTAGGGAAAGATGTGCAGCCAGTCATGCCTCAGGCCTTCTTGCAAAACTCATGACCCCTGGGGTGGTTAGATAAGCATCTCTATGAGAGTTTATCTATGCTACAGGAACACATTGGTCATCTTGCTATGCAACAGGCCGTTTTCCTACAATACTAAAATGAAGCTTTAGTATATAGTTATGTAAGCCTTCATTATTATGTAAACCTTTGTACATATTTTAACAAAAAATAAAGGAAGCTAAAATAATTAAGATGCCATATTAGAAACATTCAAATCAAATATTTAGGGTGTTAAGCAGCAAGGTAAGGAAATGATTTTTCTCAGAGTTAACATCTCAGACATAAAGAAATAAGAAGTAAACCACCCCAGGGGTTTGTTCATCAGTCATGGGTCAGGCTGCCACAATGTTTAAGTCTCATCCTGGCATTCTTAGCTTCTCACTTTATTTCTTACACAATCTTTTTCTTAGCTGGAATCCAAAGTAATGTTTCTATCTGAACATACAGTGTTTATTACACTAGGAACTAGTCATCATTTTGAAGACTTGGTTTTCTTGTTTACATTTTTAAAATTTGATCATCCAAACTCCTTTCTTAATAGAAGCTGGCTTATTTTCCCCTTATTTTGCCATAATAGGCAAACTAAAATTAGTGCTTTAATTTTGTTCAAAATTTGTGATGTTTTATATTTTTGTAATTCATCACTGACACACATTTTAAAATACACATCTCTGGATTTTCTGTCCTGTCTTTGCCAAGAACAGTGTGGCCTGGGCCTAGTCTCTTAACCTCTTTCCACCTCAGTTTCTTTGTCTAGTAAATAAGAGGTAGATAAAGGTTTCTACCACTACTTCCAGCTCTGAGACCCTGTGATTTTCTGATTTAAGCAGTCTCTGCTCTCTTTGGAAATGACCTGCTTCTCAACCCAACATTCATAACAATGTAAAAGGCATCTGCTCAACGTGCATGGCAGCAAGAATTACTTGTTTAGAAACATCTGGGTAATGGTAACAACCATCTGTCTTGTCCCTGCAATTGTCGAACAAAGAATTAAGCAAGCAAAACCACAAGAGAAGTGCCCTATTTTTATAGAACGATGCAATAGAACAGAATTTGTTTAGGTTTTATGAGAGTTGCATATGTATCCCACCTCTGTTATGGAACGGCAAGCCTCTTCACCTCTGCAGACTTCAGTTTACCAGCCTATCTGTCAAACAATGGGAAGATAACTCTCTAGCACTGTTCCTTATTTTGTTGAAATAGAGAAATTAATATGTTCTTGAGACACTATACTGAATTTTTCATTGCACTTGTTAATAAAATGAGTATTTTCATGTCAAATAACAGCAACCATCCAATCCATGCTGGAGAATGAAAGAAAAGCAGATGAATTATCAGGTTCAATTCATATCTGGTGTGCATTAAATGCTCATCTATCTTGTATAGCTTGCTACAGATGATGGTATTTTGGTGAAAATTGCCAACAATTTTTTAAATGAATCTAGAGATCATTACCTGGACCCAAATTTGTGAGAATTTTGCATTCGGGTGGACACTTGCATCCATGCATTCAATTTTCTATCATTCATTGGTCATTTTTTCTGAGTTAAATCCTCTAGCGAGGGCCGGGCACGGTGGCTCACGCCTGTAATCCCAGCACTTTGGGAGGCAGAGGCGGGCGGATCACGAGGTCAGGAGATCTAGACCATCCTGGCTAACACGGTGAAACCCCGTCTCTACTAAAAAATACAAAAAATTAGCGGGCGTGGTGGTGGGCGCCTGTAGTCCCAGCTACTCAGGAGGCTGAGGCAGGAGAATGGCGTGAACCCGGGAGGCGGAGGTTGCAGTGAGCGGAGATTGCGCCACTACACTCCAGCCTGGGCGACAGAGCAACACTCCGTCTCAAAAAAAAAAAGAAAAAAAACCAAAAAACCTCTAGCGAACTATTTCTGGGCAAGTGAACTTTTCAGCATTTCTCTAATCATGCCTAATTGCTCAGAGATTCTGACAGGGATAGGAACAAGATGGTCACATGAATCTTCTCCAACTCCTCACCTCCATTCCTTTGAGATAAAAAGTGTTGGAAGTCAGGGGGATTTCTAGGTACTAACTATGCAATAGTTACCCCTTCACAATAGTTAGCAGGGGAAGAAATGGAAGGCCTTAATTAAGGAAATATTTCTTTATTTCTCAACCTACTATCTACTGAATTACTTATATTTCATCATGAAAAAGACATTTAAAAGCAGTGGTTTCTGTCCTCCATAATTTGCTTATGGAGTAGGCATTTTTAAAAATTATTAATTCAGGCCGGGCGCGGTGGCTCACGCCTGTAATCCCAGCACTTTGGGAGGCCAAGGCGGGCAGATCACGAGGTCAGGAGATCGAGACCATCCTGGCTAACACGGTGAAACCCCGTCTCTACTAAAAATACAAAAAAATTAGCCGGGCGTGGTGGCGGGCGCCTGTAGTCCCAGCTACTCGGGAGGCTGAGGCAGGAGAATGGCGTGAACACGGGAGGCGGAGCTTGCAGTGAGCCGAGATCGCGCCACTGCAGTCCAGCCTGGGCGACAGAGCGAGACTCCGTCTCAAAAAAAAAAAAAAAAAAAAAAAATCATGAGTTCTGAAGAAAACCAAATACCACATGTTCTCACTTGTAAGTGGGAGCTAAATGATGAGAACACACGGACACACAGAGGGGAAAGACACACACTGGGGCCTATCGGAGGGTGGAGGGTGGGAGAGGGAGAAAAGCAGAAAATATAACCAATGTTACGAGGCTTAATACCTGGGTGATGAAATACTCCGTACAACCAACCCCTGTGATACACATTTACCTACGTAACAAACTGCGCATCTTGCACATGTACCTCTGAACTTAAAAGTTAAAAAAATAAAAAATTTAAAAAGAATCATAAGTTCTGATCCATAGTCTTGGACAAAGCACTTAATTTCCTGGACCTCAATTTCTTTATATTAAATTACAGGGGTGGCATATGACTAGGCTAAAATTTTCCGAATTCAAAATGTTATCACTATATAAAGTAAATGAGAATTTTATGGTGAAAGAAATCTTTTGAATTTAAGAAAGACTTGTCATTCATCAAAAGAAAGCACTGGAGAGCAGGGACCATATCTTGAACACTTTATATTCCATTACAATAGCATGTATTAAATGCAATAATATTTACTGCTATGAATGAATGAATCTTGTTAATGTTTCATGTCCTTACAGGGAAGAGTATCAAGTGACTCTCAGGAATGTGGGCAATGGGTGAAAGTGATTCGATGGCAGAAACTTTTAAAGTTAAGTAAACTCAGTGCAGAATTAACAAGGAGGGCCAGGCACAGTGGCTCACTCCTATAATCCAGCACTTTGGGAGGGGGAGGTGGGAGGATCGCTTGAGCCCAGGAGTTCAAGACCAGCCTGAGCAACACAGCAAGACCCTGTCTCTACAAAAAAGTTCTTTAAAATTATCCCTTGAGCCCAGAAGTTTGAGGTTGCAGTGAACTATGATGGTGCCACTGCACTCCAGCCTTGGTGACAGAGTGAGGCCCTCTGAAGGACCCTTTGAATGTCCTTTTAAGGCCATATAACATCTTCTTATATCTCCCTGAGGAGATTAAGAATGGGTTGTTGTTTTTTTTAAGTTATCTTCTTTTTGTATATCCTGTTTTTCCCCCCAATTTTTTTTCTTGTATGTTTGTTTTGGCATCTGCCTGTATGTTAGATACTTTCCTCAGAGGACTGGTCATCCTTGGCTGTCTGCTCATGTTTAAAAGTCTCAGAAAAAAAAAAAAAAAGCGAAGATATTAACATGGAGGACACAGGACATAAGAAGATGCCTCTGAGTGCTCTCCGCAGAGCGACCTCAGTCTTGGCATTCCTTCAAGAGTATCTTAACATTTATTTTAAACTGAATGCCTCTACAGCAAAACAGGGGAAATCATGAGGGAGAAGAAGTAAATTTGGAAAATAACATTGAGCAAAACAGCTGCCAAGCATCAAGGATTTTCATCTAGTCCCCAGTACATTTTAATGATATGTGCCAAGTGGGTATTCAAAAAATAGTTATGATAATGATAGATGATAATGATCATCAGTACTTTAGAGGGTGCTGTGGAAGAATTGGGCTTTAATGCCTTCTCTACTGTTTTTAGCTCTGTCTCTAACTTGCTTCGTCTCTTAGGGCTAATGACGTGGCCATCTGTGTCTCTAGTTTCCCCATCTGCAAAAAAGAGATTGTATCATTTCCTACAGAAAGCCCGTGGACTGTGCTTTAATATCCTCCGGTGAAACATCATATCTAAATATAAAGCAGACAATAAGAAGCCAAATATTACCAAGGGAATAAACTTTAAGACAGAGTATTATAAATTAAAATGAATTAAGAACTTCTAAGTAATATTCTACTGACCTTTGGTTGATGCAAAGGTACCTGTATTGCATACACTTTAGATTTTTTAAAAGTAGATGAGAACATAAATTATAAATACATAAACAAATCCTAGGATGCTTTGACTCATTAAACTCAATATCTTAGACATATTAATCCAAAATATTTTGTGGGTTCTAAATTAATTTCTAAAGCAAACCAGCATTACTTAAATTAAATCTATATAACAAAGTAGCAATAATCCTTAAAAGCACTGTAAAAATACACAGAAGAAGAAAGAAGAAATCTTTCTTCTTGGCTATAGAGAAGATATGGGGAGAAAAGTAGAATTCATTGTAGCCCATGATTGCCTAGTTCATACAGCCAAGCCAAAGGTATTATCTGAGTACATCTGACATGATTTGAGTATATCAGCAAAAGCCATCAGTTTCTCTGACCCTGACAGCCTAAATTGCCTCATTTTCTAAATTTCCTCTAATGATGTATATTGTTTCTTCTTTTTTCTTTTGTTTAGTCTGATGGAGCCTTGCAAAATTCAGAAGACTTTTAACATTAATGTGTATTCTTATCAAAATAATACACGTAGACTGTTTTAAAATATAACTAAAAGTCTTAAAACAAAACAAACAATAACAGTCCCAGAGAAAAGGACCTGCGATAATTTTAGCCGCCTCTTCTGGCAGTCATCACACATCCCCATATTTCTGAATAACTCACATTCTACTCTGTTTCGCGTCACACATTTTGAGCATAATTTGATTTGGCCCCCTGTCATGGTAGGGGAGGATATTGCTCTCTTGTGCAATACTTCCAATCCTTAGGAAGGTAAAGTCCTGACTGGAAGGGCATTGGGAATGGAGTGTGGGGAGAAGATATGGAAGTGCAGGGTAGTGGGGAAGCTGGACTAAGGAGAGGCAGCTGGCCCAGCAGTGTGGCACCAACAGCAGATCTAGCCAGGGCTCTAATTACTTCTCAAACAGCCATCAACCTCCCCAACCTGAGCTTTCATATCAAAGTCACCTAGAGAAGCCAATACCTTAGCTAAGAATTATTACTGTCAGGCAAAAAAATAAAATAAACCTCTTGCAAAAAAACTGGAAACTAAGACAAACCCATAGAGAAGAATTATCCTTAATATCCTCAGCGAGATAGTAGAAAATGTTTCTTTCCCTTAAAAATGAAGATCCAAAGGACACAAAAGAAAAGAAAAGAAAAAAAGAGAGGAAAAAAAGCTCCAGGGAAGTTCTTAAGTCTGCTGCCCAGTCAGTTACCACCTTCCATCTGCTTTCCAGCTTCTAAAATTTGTTGCTGTTGTAGACTCACCTGGAACCAGAGAGCACTTTGTCTTCTCTCCTATTCCTTGCATCCTTCTGGATTTATGACATTTCTTTTTAACCCCTTAAATGTGGTTTTAGTGGCATTTCAGGAAGAAATAGAATTAGACACGTATAATCAATCAGTCATTTCTTATCAGGAACCACACATGGTTCCTTTGTGGGGTTTTCTTCATTAAGTCAATATAAAACTTCAGATACAGCATAAAAAGGTAAATCCCAGGCAGGAAAACAGTGAATTTTTTTAGAAGATTACTTTATTTTATTGAGATTGTATCCCCAAACAGGAGCAATTTCTGATGCGTTCTTCTTTGCAAATAATAAATTAGCTCACATATCAAGTATGATGAGGGTGCTTTCTGCAGAAAATTGTAAAACTTTGACTCAAACTTGTGTGTACAACATGAAATTTATTGTCTCACATTAACTGGAAGTTCAAAGGTAGAGACATGTGACTTAGCAGCTGAGTGACATCATCAGGTACATGTTGCCCTGTCTGTACTGTGCTGTCCTCTTTGTCACCTTTATTCCAAGGCTGGCTCCCCTAACTGTCGTCATGATTTACTGTAGAGTCTGAACTTAGAATTGGTAACTAATCCAAGGAAGCTTCCTTTCTTGTTCCTTAACTGTAGCCCAGGGAGATCCTAGTACTCTACGGTTACTTTCAGATATTGAAGAGTCTGGTCCAGTTTTAAAGTTCACGATGATGCCTAATGTAATGCTCTTCCTCTCCCCCAACTCAGGCTTGATCTGTAGCCCAAGGAACTCACCATGAGTGGATGAGAATCCTCTCCTCCTATAGCTTGATGTTTCCTCTCGCGGGTCCCCCTTCTGCCTCCATGGAGTTAGGAGGAAGGATGGGCAAAAGGAGGAAACATCTTCTCCTTGATTGGTGCAGCCATTGTTCTCTCATTGGTACTTGGTGGGGAATCTCCAGAGGTGTGGCATGTGGCCCTCAGTGTACACATCTCTGGTGCCAGACACAGTGCCGGCCTGACCACTTTCAACCCCTCTCAGCATCCACCCACAGCCTCCTCCAAGTCTGGCCAGGGGCCAGTTTTCAAGTCGAGTTTCTGTGGTGTCTCCTTGACATTGAGAAAATCACCCATTCTCACCATGCCACATGATGGGTGTGCAGGATGCCCTCTCTGTTTACTCTGTCATCTCTCTCCAATTCCTTTCTCACACCTCCAAATTCAGAGGGCCGATCAGCAAGCCCATCCCTGAAGCAGATATCCAGCTGAGGAAAAGCAGCCAGGCTTGCATTTTTCCACCGAGCAGATGTCTCATGACCTACACAACTCTCTTTAAATTTCTTCTGTTTTCTCCATAAATAACCTGGGTTTGCATGGAGGACAGAGGTAAGGGTTGGGGAGATGGTCCCCCCCTCCTCAAACCACCTCAAACTTTTGGCTAACCCAGCGTGTCTCAACCTTAGCACTACTGATATTTTGGACCAGATAATTCTTTGTTGTGAGGGCTGTCCTGTGCATTAGAGGGTATTTAACAGCATTCCTGGCCTTTACCCAGTAGATGCCTGGAGCATGCCCCACTCCTTGACAATTACGACCAAAACTTCACTGGCCTAACCCCAAGAGTCCCCTCTGTTCTCCTAACACCTAGGTTTTGAGACCCAAATCTAGGAAGAGATTCAAAGGATATCTGCTTTCCCTTGAGGCAATGAAAGCCTCGTCCCCTCCCCTGAGGCAATGCATGTGAATGAGAGGGGCCAGGCAAAGAGAGAAGAGAAGTTAGATGCACAGGTAATATGGTTAATATAGCAAGAGCATCATGCCGTGTGTTCTATTTTCTCACCTGTTGCCTTAGAATGTATACCACGTGTTTATTCTAGTAACTCCTTTGTGTGTGTATTACATTTTGTATATGGACTGCAATGAATACACATATAAAGAGAAATTTAAGGGAGGCAGAAAGATTTCATCACTAAGTTCTGATCAACATAGCTGATGAATAATTATTCTTCAAGCCCAACACACATGCCTGGAACTGCGTTTCTCAGTATTGAACTTCCCCTCCAACTTTGGAACTTACACTCCTAGTGCATTAAAAGGAGGCTTGGGTATTTGAAGGAGATGGATCAAAGGCCTTGCGTTTGATGCCTTTTAACTCTGCAGGAGTCATTCCAAGGAAATCAATAAGAGCCAGCAATAACTCCACTGAAAGCAAATCTTTCATCACTCATACACGACAGAGACCGCACCCCTGCTCCAGGTGCTGTATCTCTTATGTATTCATTCACCATTCACTCATTTCAATCTGGCAATAAGAAGCCCCTGAATCCCCAGGACATGAAGTGCTATAGAGGTTCGCATAAACAATGCTGGAGATCACAGTTTCATTTCTATACAGGTTTCCAACCTTTATTCTACTGATCAACTGATACCTTTGGCACAAATGGGGGAAAACATGGGTTGAAACTGAGGCTAAGAAAAAGGGAGCTGTTTTATCTTCTGAAACCTCATGTATGGAGAATCTAAGCTCATTTCCATTTATTTTATACGTCTTGCACAAAAAGGCTTTTGATGCTGCCCTGGGCATTGATACTTATTTCAATTCCTATTTTATTCACAGATTCCCAGGTTATTTACCATGACTCATTTCTCTTTTGGTTACAGAGCTCTAATGTGGCACACTAGTTGGGATACAAATCTGCTAAATATTTACAACTATTTGGGGAAAGTGCATCACTATGTTATGGTATTATTGACACTGTATGTTGAGACGTTGGTACACTACACTATGAAAGCATTAACCCTTTCCCTCCACCACAATTCCGCCCGTAATAAGCTTTTTTCCTTGTGCATCTCTGATCCAACCTGTAGCAGCAGCTCCATATGCACAGAGCCACCTCACCTCGGGCAGGTCTGCCAAGAGCTCAGCAGTACCCAGCTGGGATGCAGCAGTGGCTTTCCTCCTCAGATGAATCAGACTGGTGCTTGAGCTCCAGATGTTCATTTAGCCCACCAACTAACTTGCAGTTTCTTTCCTACAGATGGGGCCACTTTGGATTTGCATATCTGTCCTTAGATACTCTATGTACTCTACTCTGTTCTTACTTCGATACGGTCATTGAGTGCATTCATATTCAGATATGGCCTACACGTTAGTGGCCAAGGTGAACCTTCTTTTAACATCCTATTTTTTTCAACTGAGAATTGTCTAATTAAGAAATACTCTGGCTTACAGAGTTATTTTTTCTTCAGGGAATCTAATAGTCCCTTGGCATTATGTATTACCCCAAAGTATCATCATTATGAAAATTAATTACTGTTAGAATAACTGGGGAAAAGACCTACAGTTTTCTAAGAATATTCCGCATAAGCTGCCTAGCCACTTTATTTTTTTATGTAACGTATAAGTGCTAACACTGATATAGCTGTACTCTGTGCCAGGCATTGTGTTAAACAGATTATCTCATTTAATCCTAACAGGTGCTCTATGCCTCACTTGGACTCCCTGAAAACAGAGCTTGAGATGAGGGCTTTGTGCAGGTAGTATGTTTGGGAGGTGATCCTTGAGGCATGAATGAGGACTGCAGAAAGTGAGTCAGAGAAGGAGAAAGTAGAGTCAATATAAGGCTGCATTATTGAAGTGCCATGGTGGGCCACAGGGACTTAACTCTGTGTCAGTGACCTCTTGAGAACTGGACAGAGGCCTCCCACAATTGTCCAGCAGGACAGGAAGCAGGGGTATTTATCCAGTGGTTCCCATGCCCCACAGGCCAAGGATTATTCCCAGACACAGGGAGCTCTGCTTGCAGGGAAGCGAGTAGATGCCGCCAGCAACAGCCCACTGCAGACACAGCTAAAGTCATAGGTGAAATATGTGAGAAGGGGCAACAGAAGCTTCTGACACAATTATTATCCTCCCATTTTACAGAGAGAGAACTGAGGTACATGGAGGTTACTTCATCCTCCCAAGGTCACAAGGCTAGTCAGTGTGGGGCCAGGATTTAAACACAGGCAATCTGACCTCAAAGCTCATGGCCCTAACTGCTGTGCTCCTGACCTCCCGCAGGAGGGATGATGACGGCTGCACTCCAGGCTTCCCTTGTGTAGCTCCGCCTAGAGATTTGGGTGTCTATCGCCAATTCAATCTGGAACCCATCTTGGTGATATTTTTTCAACTGTTGCAGTTCCTCCTTAGGGAATTTATTTTCTTTTAGTTGCAACAACACAAGAAAATGCTACTGAAATGCCACATCTGCATTCATGAGAAAAAAAAAATGAATATCTTTCATCAGAGACCATGTAGGAAGAGACAGGTTCCAACAGTATATCACTTGAGGGAGAGAAAAGGGGGAGAAAATATAGCTCATAAAACTTTTCTTGAGTTCAGAAACTGCTTTTCAATTTTTTATTAAAATGTTATTCTTCAAAGAGTATAGAAATACACCTGGCAATGACCTGTTAGTAGTCAGCCATCTGCTTCAAACATATATAAGAAACATACCCAACCAGATTCTGCCTCATCAAAATTTATTAAGTTGTACATATACAGTATATTATCAGAACAACACCAAAGTGGCTACACTTGACAGATTCTCCTAAAGTGGACATAATTTTCCTAGAGATTATTATTCCCCTTGATAAAAGTTGTAATGATTGTGAAAGCTTTGAAAGACAAGCTTGAAGGGCCACAGCATTGACTATCAGGGCAAGGAGCTATAGATGCCATGCACGCAGGGCCCAGAAGGCAGCAGAGCCGCAGGAGGCTGTGGCAGCCCCGTTTCTGCTGTGAGCAAACAGTGCTATGAGGAGACCAACACAAAGAGGAAGGTGCTTCCTCTCCAGGGGTAGGGTCTTTGGGTTCACATTCAGAAACACAAGACACCACACCCAAGAGAAGAAAGGAAAACAAAACTCCCTACAGGGTCTGGGCTCCCTCCAAGAGACGGGGCCAGTGTGGCCAAAAGAGGGCACGAGTTGAGATGTGGAAGTTTGCTGGTGAGGACACCCACTTCCCTTCAAGCTTGCTCAAGGCACCAGACTAGCTCCTGTAAGTACCAAGAGCAAGAACACAACACTCTAGAGAAAAGGGCAGAGCTGGCGCTTGGTTTGTCCTCACTAACAGGGAAGTATTATCTGCGGTTCTAATTCAACCTGGTGAAATCCACCCCAGAGGGGTCCCAAATTGCTTGTGAGGCTGATGAGTTGAGGACACTGCCCTCCCTCTTCTACCCAGTCTGGCTCTACAACGACAGGGAAGGAGGAAGTGAAGAGCTCATCTGGGTCAGATGTTGCCTTGGCACTCTACAATGATTATTTCTCCCTGTTCTGTTCCTCCTCTGTGTCCAAAATTAAGAGAGAACCGCAGCTGTACAAACAGACTGAAAAGGAGACTGGCCACACCTGAGTTCCGGAGTCTTCCTCGGAAGGAAACCATCTTTGTCAGATTCTTGCCAACCTTTTGGGCAGAGTCACCTTTCCAAATCAGGCCTTTTCAGTTTGATGTTTCCAAAGGACCCAGCTTACACTAACTCTCCATTTTAAAAATACCTTTTAATTCCTAAAGTTTGCATAAGATGATTTTTTCAATATATTTGACTCATACTGGTTGTTACATAGCACCTTTCATGTGAGATCATAGGGAAGAAAAAAAAACTACAGCGCCATAGGCATCTCTCAGGCATCTCCCCCGTAAGCTTCTCTCTCATTTGTTGAGAAAACACAATTTAAGGTGAAAGACAGAGCGAAGACTTTTCAGTGTTTTCCAGCCAACACTGACCCTGACTGGAGGGTGCAGGTGTATCTCTCTGAGGCGTTGGTGATGCCAAGGGAAAATCAGAATTATCAAGGACAAAATATCTCCCTTACTCCCGGGCACATCTATCGCCATGTGTACCATAGGTGAGGAATCGTCATTCCTTACCTACATCCCAATGAAAGGGACGAAGGGTATCAGGAGAAACAGTGAGTCATATGACTGGGGCTTCCAGAGAAACAGTGTAAGACACCAAATCCCTACCTTCTCAACAGAAAATGTTTGACATGTTTAAGTTCATCAAACAGGCATTTTCTCTGGAGCCACCATGCTCCATCATGATCTTGGAATTCCCTTAGAGTGCTCCTGCTCCCTGCTCCTGTGAGCTCTGAAAGTCTTCTCTCTGTGTGTTCTCTGCAGAGCCCAGGGAAGTGAGGCATCCTCAGAAAGTGCACATGGGGTACCCACCTCAAGACCCATTCAAAACTGCCCAGCTCTTGTCCCCACAGAGAATAATGTGGACTTCACTAAGGACATGGATCACTGAGATGGATACATATACTCCCTCAATAAAGAGGACACTGGATTTTATGTAGATTTCCCTATCATTCAAAAGCATCTGGCCCATATTGGAGGAATCAACTCACACTGAGTTGCAAGGAGATCATACAATCACATGGCCACAGCATTCCCACACTCTGGTGGGAATATGGAAGCTCCCCGTTGCTTCCAAGAATTTACAATCCTTGCTAGGAATCCACCTTTGGAAAAATGCTCACTTTATTGTTTCTGCTCATCTTCCGCTCCACCCTGCCTACCTTGGGCACCTTTGTCTGGATCAGCTCTTCTGGGGTGTTGCCCAAGGGGGGAAGCAGCCGCTTCTTGCTGTTTCGGGTCTCTGAGAGCCACTGAGGAGGCAACTCAAAAGGCCCAAAGCCAAACTGCAGGGAATACTTATCAGGGAATGTTTCAGGTTCCACAGGGGCTGCCGGTGCCACCTGGGATACAGAGTCCACTGTGCTCAGGGGTGGGGCAGAGGGCGCAAACTGTGGCCCCTGCTCTCCCTCCAGGCAGGTGCTAAATATCTCCTTGGCCTGGAAGTCAGCTGAGCCAATGTACTTGGCCTCACTCTCTTCCTCATCCTCTGTGGGCTTAAAGATCTGCTGCTGCCCAATGTGGAACATCTCCAGGAGCTGGCTACCCGAGCGTATGCTGGGTTCCAGGCTGGCCTCAGCCATGCCACTCCCTGTACTGACCACATTACGGCGACTGTACCGGTGGTGTAGTTGCACCAGGGTCCCTATCAAGCACTTGCGGACAGATTTGTTCACAGTAAGAAAGAGAACAGGGTTTGCCAGCAGGGAGACTTTGGGCAGCCAAACAGCAGTGAGCAGCAAGAAGACGGAAGTGTCAGGGACATTGAGCACAGTCTGGTAGACGACCAGGGTGGCATAGGGCACGCTACACAAGATGAAGACCATCACCATGGAGAGCAGGGTGGCGTGCAGCTCGGCCTCCCGCTGGGAGGCATAGGGAATAGAGATGGTGTTCTGTGGGGTCCGGAGCGCTGCTATGATGACCTTCTTCTTCTGGCTGGCACTCAGGGCCCGTCGGATCAGTATCAAGAAGAGGAACACCACCACCACAGGCACAATGACCGTGGTGATGTTATACACCAGAACGTACACCAGGTGGCCCAAGGAGTTGCTCCAGACTTCCGTGCAGGTGGACGTGGCATAGATGTCAGCCACATTGGTTACTGCAAACACAGGGACACTGGCCACCACTGCATGGGCCCAGATGTACATCACCAGTTCACGGGACTTGGCATCAGATATTTTCCTCTCCAGTGGATAGAGGACTGAGTAGTACCTGCAAGATACACAAACAAAATTAATTCCACAGAAGATACTTTTTAAATTAGGGGAACCTAAATCACCAAAAGTAGATGAGAGGGAAGAAAGGTCAAGTTCTTCTATTCGGCCTAAGACAGAAAAGCACTGGGGGAATCCAGGAAGCCAGACCTAAGTTTTGAGGACTTTGCAAGTACAATAAGAAGCGTCACTAGACCAAAAAATAAAAACCTTTCCAAAGGAGCAGCAAACCTGTCCTCATGAGGCTTTACAGGAAAACAAGTAAATAATTTCAATTCATAGCTAGCTTTATAATTATTGCTACCAGGATGAAATCGCAAACAGTACCCTCCATATAAAAGATTTCTCCATCTGCTATAAAGATATCTACTTTTCAATTTGAGGGTAAAGGGTAATTGGTAAACAATTTTATATGGGCTAAAGAAGCTTTAGGGCAATTTTCAAAGCTACCAACAGAAATAAGTTTGTCTACACACATATCTAAAGCAGACTTATGCCACAGTCCAGATATCATTAACAATTAAAGTTGTTCAGGGCAGAAGAACCAGTATGAAGAATGGACTCCGACAAGGTCCTTCCACAAAAATCAATTCAGCTGACAAAAGTTATGCCTGCTCAACAGTCATTGCTCCCATGATAATCACTCAGTAACCCTAAGGGCAATTAATAGGTCTAAAATGCCTGCACAATTAGATTTTTGTTAAAATCAGATGAGACATTGTTTTTCCTTCCAATATTTAACTTGATCATTCTGTAAGCACCTAAACAGAATTCCAAAAGCATGCCGTTTCAATATCACCAGTGATTTGAGGGAACTGAATAACTCTTTGCACCCTAGAACCACATCTGTAGTAAAAGGGCTGCCACTAGCTCTCAGAGATATGGTCAGTTTCTTCACATTTGCTTGGCCATATCTGTGCAGTCAGTTAATGCTGGGGTTGACCTTACAACCTTAGTGACACCCATTCACTCATAGGGCAAGTAAGCACATAAGCTTTCAGATAACAAGTACTTCTTTTTTTTTTTTTTTTTTTTTTTTTTGAGATAGAGTCTCACTCTGTCGCCCAGGCTGGAGTATAGTGGCATGATCTAGGCTCACTGCAACCTTCGCCTTCTGGGTTCAAGCCATTCTCCTGCCTCAGTCTCTCGAGCAGCTGGGATTACAGGCATGCACTACCACGCCTGGCTAATTTTTGTATTTTTAGTAGAGACGGAGTTTCGCCATGTTGGCCCAGGCTGGTCTCGAACTCCTAACCTCAGCTGATCCACCCGCCTCGGCCTCCCAAAGTGGTTGGATTACAGACGTGAGCCACCGTGCCCAGCCTCCTGTAACAGGTACTTCTGAGCACCACCTATGCACCAGGTCCTGTGCCTGGCACTGGGTTATAAGAATGAAAAGACACAGGAATGTCTCTAAACCCAACGGGGACAAAGATACACACACTAATAATTACGAACAAGGAGATGACAGCTCTACTAGAGGCAGGCACAAAGGAGGTACAGGTAGCGCCTAAAGCCACCTGGGAAAATAGCAAGAGAGGGAGACACTGCAGTGGAGTCTGGCAGGGGGACCAGCTGAAGGGGAACATTCCAGGCTGAAAGAGATGGGATGCAAACACAATAGCGACCATGGACAATCAGGGAAGGAGGGAGCATGGTAAGATATGTTCTAGATTTCTTTCTGGGAGGAGGGAAAAAGAGAAAGAAGTGCATAAGTGATGCATGCTTTCACATTTTTTTTTCTCTGAATGTAGATAGTTTTGTAATGACAACTCAGTAAATATGTGATGGCCCCACCTGTACACATGAATAGATGCTTAGGAGTTCACTGGCTCTGACTGCCATTTGCTCACTGACATGTAACAAACCCAGGCTTCCATTAATTTCCAATCCCGTTACATGTTGGGAAACAGATTGCAACATAAGCACACAGGCTCACTATAAATAATGTTCTTAGTGTGTACACCTCTAAACAGTGATGCAAGAAGTGTAGATGACCTCCCGATGAACTTGCTGACTTAGTACCATGAAATGAATAGCTATGAAGGAAGTGAGAGAAAAGACTGTCTTCTCTTCTTCAGGTGTACATGTGGATGCTTGTAAGTAATTTGCATCTGTGAATAACAAAATAGGAATTCACCAGCCCTGTTTTCCTACTAAAAGGACTTGTTTTACTTTTTAAAATTATGATAAATTTACAATAGCTTTTCTGCTGGAAAGAAAATGAGAATTTCTTACTGTTTTCGTATTTCTTTGTTTAAGACCAAGGCCCCAGAAGTAACCCACAGGGATTATTGCATTGCTTCCAGGTATAACAGCAAACTGTTCAGAATAATGTATTCTCCTTGTTGAGTCTTATTTAAAAAAAAAAAAAAACTTTCAGGATTCATAGCAGCATTACTCACAATATCCAAAAAGTAGAAACAACCTAAATATCCACCAACTAGTAAATGGAGAAACAAATTTAGTATACTCCTAAAATTAAATGAATATATTATTTGGCCATGAAAAATGAATGAAGTACTGATACATTCTATAACATGAACTTTGAAAACATGCTGAGTGAAAGAAGCCAGACACAAAAGAACACACACTGTATGATTCCACCTACATGTAATGTCCAATAAAGCAAACATATAGAAAAAGAGAGTAGATTCATAGTTGTTTATGGTCTGGGGATGGGCACAAGGAGTGACTGTAAGTAAATGGGCACAAGTTTCTTTGTGAGGTAATAGAAATGTTTTAAAATTATATTGTGATGATGGCTGTACAATTCTATAAATATATTAAAATTCATTGACTTGTATACTTCCAATAGGTGAATTTTATAATATGTAAATTATATCTCAGTCCAGAATATCAAACTGAAGACTTAAGACTTTACCACAGCAGGTACTACCAGGGGCATTCAGAAGGACACTGAACACAAAATGGTTCGACATAAAATGCATTAGTGTACCCACCGGAAGTACTCTTGAGAAAGGACTCTGACTTCACTCTTATATTCCAGTCCTGTGCAATGGCACTTTCCAGATATTCAAAAAGCAATGGAAGAGACATGCAACGTCACCATAAAGCAGGCGTGGCAAATTGGCATCTCAGGGCACACATTCATCTTGCTGAAGGGATTCACATGACCCACATAATACTTTTTGAAAAAAAAAAATAATTGCCAACATTTTTAAATTATGGAATTCTAAATTTTTTTATTCCTCTTCTGAAAGAATAAAAAAGTCCTGCCCACCGAGTCTAGATTCCTACAAAGCAATTATTAGCTGCAACTGCTGAGCGGCTGATCCCCATGAACGAGAATGTGGACACACTCTCCACGTGCCACAATTGCAACCTGGTTATTGCTTGACTTGTCACCTGCCTTGTTTGGCTCCATGGATGGTGAGATTCCAGTCCCTTCTAAGGAGCTGGAGCTGCTCCCAGCAAGATCTGATGGTAACATGATTGCAGAAATATATCTAAGGAAGAATGTGCCATCAGAAGGGAAGCCTGAGAAAGAGAGGCAAATATTGGTGCAGCCCATCCTAACACAGGCCATAAATAATTCACTTAATTATTTCTACTGCTCTGGAATCTGAGGCTCAGAAAGTTTAAGCAGCTTTACCCAAAGCCACTCAGCTAGAAAGCTATGTAGGCAGGACTCAAAGCCAGGCTTCTATTCCAACATCCATTCTCTTAACCACAATGGCAATGACTTCTCCCAGTATGCTGGGGGCTTCGTGTGACTCTGTGTCCCTCCATGCAGACAGCACCAGGCAGCTGAAGAAATCAGGGTCCCTGGCCTGAGAGGCTGAAATGACTCTATAGATGGGTTCTACAATCAATACCCTCACAGGTCATTAAGGTATTATGTTTTGAATGGACAAAGAGTTCTAAATTTTCAAATTAATCTAAAATGTAGTTAAATTTTAACATAGGGCATAAAATCAGAATAGCCTGCACTTTCCCTTCAGCAACGTTTCCTCTATGTTAATCTTGAAATCAAAAGTACTCATGGACATAAAATACTTTTCAATTCTTGTTTGCTTACTTAATTCAATTCTCTAGAAAATATTATCTAAACTGTATTCATGAAGCACTAGCTAGAAAGGAGAAAGGCAGGAATTTGCTGATTATGAGATCTTTATGCAACTTTGATAAAATTGATAAAATTATGTAGAATGGCAGTAACTAAGATGTAAGGTTCACTTCCAAATGAACATCTTTTTAAAGAGGATAGGAAGAGAAAGCAATCACCACTGCAATATGAAGCCTTGGAAATAAATCCTCCAGAGGAATTCTGGTGTTACCTAGCCAGATCCAAGTGGACCATCTAATCGCTTGTTAAATAACCACTGAATCATTCCCTTGTTCTTTCAGAGATGTTCCATACTGCATCAAAAAGCCCTAATTGCAGAGTTATCAATCAGATGAAAAATCTACTGCAAATTGCAACACAAATACCACCAACTGCAACCAAGCTGAACTGACACCATGATCTAGCAGCTCTGCCCCAGCATCCTCACCATGGAACTCCCATCCCCAGGTCTTCTCTCAATGGTTTTATTTTCCATGGCTGTTGCTAAATCCACCTGTCCTTTGTGAGGCATCTGTTTTGCACATTTATTCCCTTTCTGTTGATCACAAGCTGACTAAAAAGCAGTATACGGAACATTGACTACTCATCATTTGCTTCATGATGCTAATTTTTTAATACAACTTAAAAAAAAAAGTTAGCTCCTGGCTACCTGATCTTACCTGTCCAAAGCAATAGCAGGGAAGCTGAGGATGGTCACAGAGCAGAATACTTTGTGCAAAAATTTGACGACCTTGCAGAAGAGCATGGTGTAGATCCACCAGCAACAGTGAGGACTGGTGCTGAGGATGATGTCGAAGGGCACACAGACCAGGCTGGCACAAATCCCCGAGCAGGCCAGGTTTTTAATGAACCTGTTGGTGACAGATTTGAACACGGTTGTGCGGCAAGTTGACCATAACACCATGAAGTTTCCTGGTCAGATATGAAAGAAAATAAAATAATTTAAATAAAAATTTAAGAACTAAAAAAAGGAAAAAAGTACAGGTTAAAAAATGTAAAAAACACATTTGAGAGTTGATTTCAAAAGATTTAATGTAAATCCTAATATTAAAATTTAACATATATGATACATTACAGTCAATTTATGTGAAATTATTAAATCACATATCAATAAGTCTAGAAAAAATTTTAGTGGTGAGTTTCTCTATTTAATTTTGGGCAAAATAGTATTATAACGATGGCTTAGTCTCATCAGTGTATAAACAATTTGCTAGTTATTACTTAATCCCAGGCAGTCTGCTCTTATCAAGTTTTCTAGTGACCTCCATGTTGCCAAACTCTGCAACAGAAATACAGTGCAAACCGCACATGTCATCTTAAATTTATGGTAGCCATGTTTTAAAAAAGTAAAGAGAAGCAGGTGAGATTTTAATAATATTTTTTATTCAACCCAACAGATCCCAAATATTTCAACATGTAATGATTACTTTAAAATTATTAATATTTTTCATTGTTGTTTTTGTACTAAGTCTTCAAAATGCAATGTGCATTTTATTTTACACTTACAGCACATCTCAGTTTGCACTAGTCACCTTTCAATAGCCACATGCAGCTAGTGGCCACCACACTGGACAGCACTGTTCTAGACTTCAGCAGCAATGATGCAACCAATCATCTCTCTTTGAGCATTGTCCTCTGTGGCTTCCACAGGCCTACAATCTCCTGGTTTTCCTTCCACCCTCCCGCTTCCGCCAGTCCTTGGCTGCTGCAAGTCTACTCTTACCAGGTTTTACAGAAGAGCATGGTACAGCTCCGCCCCCTCTATCCTCTCTCAATAGCCTCTCCCTACGTTAGACTACCCATTCTGGTAATTTTCCATCAAAATGCTGATGACTCCCAAATTCATGTCCTAAAGTAGGGTTTTCCCCTCAACTCCAGAATCCTTTTTCCAGATAAACTTCTGATACCCCTCTCAATCCCCACCATGTTCCTCAAGGGTTTACCTACTCCGATGCCTGCTGCCTAATCTCATACCTTCCTTCCCCTGGCTTGCTGGGCTCCAGCCACTCTAGTCTTTGTGCCATTCCTGAAACACATCAGGGCTAATCCTGCCTCAGTGCCTTTGTATACATTTTCTTATACTGCTTGGGATGTTGTTCATATGTCTGATTACTTTAAATCCCAGTCTTAGTTTAAATGCTGCCTTGTCAAAAAAGCCTTCTCTAACCATTATTTTATTTTAAACACTAACTGCTCCTGCCTCCATTATGCTCCATTATCATATCCCATTGCATCCTTCATAGTTCTCATCACAATTATTCATTTGTTGACTTGTTATCTCTCCATTTCATGAAGAAAAACTGTATCAATCTTGTTCACTGTTGTAACTCCATGCCTAGCTCAGTATCTGGCACAGAGTAGGCATTTGATAAATATTTGTTGAAGAAATGAATTTGTAAAATAAGCAGACACACGGTAATCAAAAGTCCCTGTGGTAAGAGAACCCCTTTTGTAGTATGTATGTCATGTAAAGATATTCTAAGTCAGCAAGCAGTTCCCAAATCTCACCATACGTCGGAATGACTGTACCAGATATACTGAATCACAGTGCATAAGTATGAAACTGGGAACCTGCAACTGTAACAGGCACGTTGGTACAGTTGGCCCCCAGACTACAGTTTCTTTTAAACCACTTTTAGACAGAGTCCACAGCCCCATGCTCAGACTCTCACAGGGAACCAGTCCTCAGGTGTGAAGGGCAGCCTGCTGAGGGGTTTTATTAGCATTTACATGCTCATGAATGAGGAAAGTTGTTTTCATGCTGTTATTTCTTTAAAACCCGAGACTGCTATAATCACATTTTATTTCCATCTATTTATATGCCTCTAGACAGCATGCAGAGCCTAATCTCTTCTGCTATTAAGAACCTGAGGCTAAATAGTCCTATGTTCTTTCCATTCTCTAAACCTCTGCTCTCGCTCTCTCCTCATTTAAAACTGACTCATTTGGTTCTAAGAACCTGAATTGGATGAACATGTCAGGATACAAGCACCCATACCCAATACCCATTTGGTTACACATTTAAAAATAAATGTGTGTGTGTGTGTGTGCGTGTGCATGTACATGTGCATGCCCACACAGCAACAAAGCAAGATAACTATATGATTATTTAACCTCATTAGCACTTCAGATTCTCCTTCGTTTTACAAGGCATACCAAGTAAGGATAACTCATTATATATTTAAGTAACAAAATTTTCAACCTCTATATACTTTTTATTTTAGAGGTCACATTCTAAGTCACCTAATCTACCCTAGAAATGATCTAAGCTCTGGAACCATTCCAATTCCCTATGTATTCCCATTATACTTTCTAATGTTTAATTCCATGACAATACTCAACGCCATTGCTGTGGACACAGCAACACAATTAGGACATACAGCCCATACAACCAAAAAGGAAATAAGAGGTAGAGAGTGGTGACATTGGTACAAGTCTGCCCTCCCTGGGACTGCTGTAACTATGTCATTCCTCAAGAAAAATAACTAACGGATACTAGGCTTAAGACCTGAGTGATGGCCGGGCGCGGTGGCTCATGCCTGTAATCCCAGCACTTTGGGAGGCTGAGGCGGGCGGATCACGAGGTCAGGAGATCGAGACCATCCTGGCTAACATGGTGAAACCCCGTCTCTACTAAATATACAAAAAATTAGCCCAGCGTGGTTGCGGGCGCCTATAGTACCAGCTGCTCGGGAGGCTGAGGCAGGAGAACGGCGTGAACCCAGGAGGCGGAGCTTGCAGTGAGCTGAGATCGTGCCACTCCAGCCTGGGTGACAGAGTGAGACTCCGTCTCAAAAAAAAAAAAAAAAGACCTGAGTGATGAAATAATCTGTACAACAAACCCCCATGGCACATGTTTACCTATGGAACAGACCTGCACATCCTGCACATGTGGCCCTGAACTTAAATAAAAGTTAAAAAAAATACAAATTAAGACTTCTCGTTCTGTAATATACTTAATAGTCAAAGATAGTGGATGTGGAAGACAAAGCCATGTGAATTAACCACAACTCTGACAGACAGTGCTTGATTGATAATGAAGAACCTTTTTCCAACTAAATTTTGCCTCTGCAAAATTTTAGCTTTGGTTGTCCTTTTAAACCGGTTTATTGGCTTTGCATCTTTGAGAGCAACAATTCTGGCCTGTTAAAGAGACTAGTAACTAAAATGAAAAAGATATTCCAAAAGAGCATTGGGAAATCGTGTGCATCTGAGAATCCTTCTGGGAAAACAGACACATTACCTCTTTGAAAACTACCAGCTTCCCCAGAGACTTAAAGCAGTAAAATATCCATGGCCATGCTTGTACAGAAAGATAACATGCCACCCAGAACATTCTAAAAACTAGAACTTGAGAAAAGCTAATGCAAAGTGGAGGTGATATAAAATTACAAGGAAAAGCCTATGACAGACTGTGCCAAGAGGGAGGCCAAAGTGGATCGACAAGGGTCAGAAAGCCTACAAAGGAACTTTTACACTTAGTATACACCTTGTGATGCAAGAGGAAAGTTTAAACAAGTAACAGTAACCCCATAATAGAAGAAACAACCAGCCAACCACTACTTTGTGTTGCTGGATTTTTAAATGCCTTATTTGCTTCAGTTTGCAGTCCAAAATGTAACCAAGAAGAGTCTCTTGGGTTTAAAGAATTGTGTGAAGGGCATATTAGGAAAGGCTTTTAACTAATATGCCAGGTAACAACAGGAATGACTTTTAACCTAACTATGCATTTATATATAAAGTAGCTTTCTTATAGACAGCATATAGTTGGCTCTTGCTTTTTTTAACTGATCTGACAATCTCCATCTTTTAATTGGTATATTTAGAATATTTGTGTTTTTAATTTTAATTTTAATTTTTTTTTTAGAGACAGGATCTCACTATATTGCCCAGGCTGCTCTCAAGCTCCTGGGTGCAAGTAATCTTCCTAGCTCAGTCTTCCAAGTGGCCGAGACTACAGATGCACGCCACTCTACCCAGCTAGAACATTTACATTTAATATAATTATTGATATGGTTGTATTAAAATCTGCCATCCTGCCAGTTGTTTCCTATTGATCCCATCTGTTCTTTTTTCCTTTTTCTCTTTCTGATTTAGGATTATAGGTTGAGTATCCCTTATCTAAAATGCATGGAATCAGAAGTGTTTCAAATTTCAAACTTTTTCAGATTTTGGAATATTTGCATCATATTTACCAGTTGAGCACCTCAAATCCAAAAATCCAAAATCCAAAATGCTTCAATGAGCATTTCATTTGAGCATCATGTTGGTGCTCAAAAAGTTCCAGATTCGGGGTGTGGTGGCTCACACCTGTAATCCCAGCACTTTGGGAGGCCAAGGCGGGCAGATCACGAGGTCAGGAGATCAAGACCATCCTGGCGAACATGGTGAAACCCCGTCTCTACTAAAAATACAAAAAATTAGCCGGGCGTAGTAGTGGGTGCCTGTAGTCCCAGCTACTCAGCAGGCTGAGGCAGGAGAATGGCGTGAACCTGGGAGGCGGAGCTTGCAGTGAGCCGAGATTGCGCCATTGCACTCCAGCCTGGGTGACAGAGCGAGACTCCGTCTCAAAAAAAAAAAAAAAAATCAGATTTTGGAGCATTTCAGTTTTGTATTTTCAGATTTAGGATGCTCACAGTGTGACTGAATATTTTTTATAATTCCATTTTATCTCCACTGTTGGCTGATTATTTATACTTCTTTTACTTTTTTTCGTGGTTGCCTATATTTACAACATACATCATGAATTATAATCTACATTCAAATACTATTATACTGCTTCACATGTAATATAAGAATCTTATAACAGTATTGTAATGGTTAATACTAAATGTCAACTGGACTGGATTGAAGGATGCAAAGTGTTGGTTTTGGGTGTGCCTGTGAGGGTGTTGCCAACAGAGATTAACATTTGAGTCAGTGGACTGGGAAAGGCAGACCCACCTTCAATCTAGGTGGCCACAATCTAATCAGCTGCCAGCACGGCAAGAATAAAAGCAGCAGAAAAACGTGGAAAGACTAGACTGGCTAAGGCTAAGTCTTCTGGCCTCCATCTTTCTCCCGTGCTGGATGCTTCCTGCCCTTAAATATCAGAATCCACGTTCTTCAGCTTTTGGACTCTTGGACTTACACCAGTGATCTGCCAGGGGCTTTTGGACCTTTGGCTACACACTGAAGGCTGCACTATTGGCTTCCCTACTTTTGAGGTTTTGGGACTTGAACTGGCTTCCTGGCTCCTCAGCTTGCAGACGGCCTACTGTGGGACTTCACTTTGTGATCGTGTGAGTCAATTCTTCTAATAAACTCCCCTTCATATATACATCTATCCTATTAGTTCTGTCCCACTAGAGAACCCTGACTAATACAAGTATATTCCTAATTCCTCTCTTCTAAGCTTTATTTTTTTTTTTTTTGAGACAGGGTCTTGCTCTGTTGCCCAGTCTGGAGTGCAGTGGCATGATCCCAGCTGACTGCAACCTCCGCTCCCCGCAGGCTCAAGTGCTCCTCCTGCCTCAGCCTCCCAAGTAGCTGGGACTACTGGTGCATACTACCATGCTTGGCTAATTTTTGTAGAGACAGGGTCTCACTATGTTGCCCAGGCTTGTCTCGAACTCCTGGGCTTAAGTGATCTGCCTGCCTCAGCCTCCCAAAATGCTTGAATTACAGGCATGAGCCACCATGCCTGGGCCTCTTCTCAGCTTTTTAAACTGATCTGACAATCTCTGTCTTTTAATTGGTATATTTAGAATATTTACATTTTTGTTGTCATACATTTTACTTTTATATAAACTGTAATTCAATATATATTGCTACAATTTCTTCTTTCAGTAGTCATTTAACGTTTAGAGTAATTAAAAATAAGAAAAAATCTTTTATAGTTACCTCCATTTCAATCATTTCTGGAGATCTTTATTTCTTTGTGTAGACACAAGTTTCTGTCTGGTATCACATTCTTTCCACCTAAGGAATGTCCCTGAGCATTTCTTGCAGTACAGGTCTGCTAGTAATGAATTCCCTCTTTTTGGTTGTCTGAAAAATGTCTTTCTTTTTTCTTCATTTTTGAAAGAGTATTTTTGCTGAGGATAATACTCTGAGTTGAGAGGGTTTCTTCACCCAGCAGTTGAAAGATATCACTCCATTGTCTTCTGGATTACACAATTTCTGATAGTAAGTTTACTGACTCTTACCTTTGCTTCTCTGCGTATAATGTGTCTTTTCTTTTCTCTACCTTCCTTCAAGATTTTCTTTCTTTGGTTTATAGCAGTTTAAATATGATGTGTCTAGGTAGTTAAATATGATGTGTCTAGGGGTGTGTGTGTGTACGCACACACCTTGGTTAGGACTACGGTTTGATGTCTTTTATCATCATTTTAATAGCTACATAAAGGCAACAGTGCCTTCATGGTCATGCCCTAATTCATTTTATCTATTTTATATTGATGGGTTTTATAAACTGTTTCCAATATTTCATTATTATACAATGCTGACATCAACATCCTTATATATATATATAATCTTTGGGAATTGAACTGAATATTTACTGAGGATAAATTACTAGAAGCAGAATTTCTGGGTTAAACAGCTTGCACATTTTTAATATATATTACCAAAGGACTCTCCACAAATGGCATGTGAGAAAGTTGGTGTCCCCAAATGCTCACTAAAAGTTCTGCAGCCTCACTAAAATGTTTGCAACCATGGCATGTGAGAAAGTTGGTTTCCCCAAGTGCTAAAAGTTCTGCAGCCTCACTAAAATGTTTGCAACTGTGCATGTTACCTCTATCCTAGGATTTATGTCTTTCTATTTCTAGAAAATTTTCATCCATTGCCTCTTTGAATTTTATCCTGCCTCTTTCTCTTCATTCTCTTTTTCTGGATTTCTTATTAGACTTATGTCAGACCTCATTCTATTGATTATATCTCTTAACCACTCATTCTTATTTTCCATCAATTCACCCTCTTCTGAAAACTGGGTGATATTTCTCAGGTTTACCTTCAATTTTTAATCCATTCTCAATTCATCTGGAAGTAATCATATCATCCCCTCTTTTATTTAAAATTTGTATTTGCGTCTACTTCAAATGGCCTATTCTTTATTCCTAGTATTCAGTTAGTTTACTATGGCTTCCATTCCTTCGTTAATCTGTAATCATTTTTTAAATGCTTATGGTTTCTTTCAGATTATTCTGTTGTATCTACTTCTAGAAGAATTAATTTTGCCACCTGTTGGGTCAGCTTGCTCTCCTTTCTAGTTTTTCTCAGATGGTTCCTAATATTCAATTATGAGCTCATAGTCTGTGGGGGTTGTTTTTCTGTGGTAGGTTATATTGCCTGGCTATAGAAGTGTTCCAAGTGGCTGGCCAAGCACACATTAGTACTTGGTTGCACTTTTGTGAGCCAATAAAAGACAATATGGCTGACAGATCATTCTGAGAAAGGTTAAGTTTGTAGCGAAATTTTTATCCTAGGGAGATGCAGAATATTTTAATAACTAAGGACATAGATCCTGAAACCCAACTCCCAGACTCAATACCCAGCTCTGTCACTTACCAGCTATGTGGTTATGGGTAAATTACCTTCTTTGTGCTTCAGTGTCATCATCTATAATGTGAACATAATAACAAAGTCTATGTGCAAGAGGCATTGTGAGGGCTAAATTAGTCAATACAGTAATATATGTACAGTGCTTAGAACTGCTTCTTGTGAATAGTATGTGCTGTTTAAGTGTTATATGTTACTGTTACTATTATTTACATGGTTTCAGAGGGAACCAAGAAAAGGTCTGAAAGACAGAAAAAGAGAGAGGTTTGGCCAGAGGAAAAGAAACATGGAGCTGTGTGTAGAGGAGACAGAAGGGGACAGCTCAGAAGGGAGACAGAGGGCCTTGGGAAGCAGCCAGGAATGTGACATGGTAGGACTGACTGGCCCCAGTTTCCAAATGGAACACTGAGGTCTCCCATGGGAGAATCACCCAGGTTTGCCCTGTGAAGGCCCCTTGAGTGGTGCTCCTCTGGCAGAATCACATCAGATTGTCTCATGTGGTCAGAACGGGTGCCCCGGGACCATGAAGTTTGGGCAACTGTGGCAAACTCAGTGCTCTTCTTCAGGCCTGTAGAGACACAAGTTGTCTCTCTCCTCCTTGCTGTCATCTGGATTCAGTGACTTCACAAAAGCCTTTCTTTCTCTCTAGCAGAGAGGGCAGGAACCACTGTGAGGCCTGCTTTTCCAAGAATGTTCAACCTTGACTCAAAGCAAACATGAAACATCTCAGATTAAGGATATCCCTTCTCCAGATAGGTCCTGCTTATAGAATCTATCAAGTCTACTATAAAACGTTCAATATACCACACAGAAAATGTAAATTAATACAGCCATTATGACAAACACCAGGGAGGTTCCTCAAAAAAGTAACAAGAGAACTATCCCATGATTCAGCAATCCCACTACTGGGTATATATCCAAAGGAAATGAAATCAGTATCTAAAAGAGATATCTACACTCCCATGTCCATTGCAGCATTATTCCCGATCACCAAGATGTGGAATCAACCTGTGTCTGTCAAAGGATGAATGGATAAATGGACGAATGGCATATATACACAACAGAATACTGCAGCCTTAAGAAAAGGAGGAAATCCTGTCATTTGCAATAACACAGATGAACCTGGAGGAGATTATATTACATGAAATAAGCTAGGCACAGAAAGACAAAGACCACATGATCACATTTACAGGTGGAATCTAAAACATCCAGAATCATAGAAGCAGAGTGTAGAATGGGCTGCCAGTAGGACGAAGCGTTGGAGAGATACTGGTCAAAGGACACAAACTTTCTGTTAGGAGAAATAAGTTCAAGAGGTCTACTGTACAATATGGTGACTACAGTAAGCAATATATTATATATTTACAATTGCTTTAAAATGTAGATTTTAAGTGTTCTCAGCACAAATAAAAATACGAGATAATGCACATGTCAATTAGCTTGATTTAGCCACTCCACATTATACACCTATTTCAAAATACATGTTGTACAACACAGATATATACCATTTTTGTCAATGAAAAATATTTTTAAAAAGCAATAACAAAATAAAATGTCTAACAGAATTCCTGCAGTAGCACACAAACATGACATGCCTTAATAGAATGCCAATATGAATTAAAAACCACACAAGGTTATGAAAATCAAAAAAGATATCAATGACCTTGGCATTGTTTCATTAAGAAAAAGTAAAAATCTCAAAGTAATGATAACTGGCTGATAGTGTTTTAAATCCAATTAGCTAGACATCTTGAAACAACCATGAGATTATTTCATCATTATGGAAAGAGTTTTCTAAAATGTTATCTGACCAAGGATATGTTACAAATAATAAAACAATGATTCTAACTATGCTTGGTTACTTGTTTAATAAAAGACAACAACCAGCCAGGTGTGGTGGCTCACACCTGTAATCCCAGCATTTTGGGAAGCCAAGGCAGGAGGATTGCTTGAGGCCAGGAGTTCAAGACCCACCTGGTCAACATAGCAAGACCTCATTTCTACCAAAAATAAAAATTAAAAATAAGAAAGCTTAGCCTGGTGTGGTGGCATGCACCTGTAGTCCCAGCCTCTTAGGAGGCAGAGGCAGTAGGATCACCTGAGTCTAGGAGTTGGAGGCTACAGTGAGCTATGATCACAACACTGGACTCCAGCCTTGGTAACAGAGCAGGATTCTGTCTCAAAAAAAAAAAAAAAGCTTTGAAAAACATTAATCAATCCAAGACATGTTCCCAGTAGGTAGCCAGCAAGCGCCCTTGTGCATTTAGGCTCACAGGATGAGCAACTAAAAATTTTAATCAAGACGGAAAAAAACTATTCCATTTTTTGCCACCATCACTAGAAAGCAGTGAAAGCATTCCTGAATATCTGAGGGCACTGCTCTATTTGTTTAGGTATAATTCAAATGTAGTTTCACTATGACACTTATTTTTGAAAAGAGTTGGTTATGTATTCATTATTTGTAAATAAATACATAAATATTGCCAGAGAATATTCATTATTTGTGAGACTGACACTTAAATCCATATTGAAGAATAGCAGAGGTACAAAAGTAACTTGATTGATTTCACTAAAGGGATTCAATGGTTCCCTACTGCCGTTAAAATAAAACAAGTTTAAACTTCTCAACATCATACAACACCCTTTAAGATATAACCCCTGGCTACCCGCACACCTACTAACTAACGTTGCAGCATCGTGATGGAATGGGATAATCCTGGAAATCTAAAGGTCAAATTCATGTTTTTCTCTGAGTCCTTACAGCTGCTGCCCAAGCAAAACCTCCAAAGAGAATTAGAAAGAGTAAGAGAGAGAGCAAGAGAGAGAGCGAGGGAAAGACAAGATAGGAATACAGAACTCCTCAGCGTAGAGAAGTCAAATGATACCTGGAGAGTTCAAAAAAAGGCACTGTTAAGCTCTGTGGAGCAGGGAGTATGACGGCGGGTGGGGAACCAACATTAAACAACTGAGTTTCATAGTTCACACTTCCAAAGCAAATAGTTCTAAAAAGTTCTAAATAGCTCTAAAAAGGATTCTATCTTACTTTGATTTTTTAACAATATTGTTCTTTAATCTATGCAGATACATTTTCCAAGTGACCAGAGAGTCAGTGTTGACAGAGTGATAAGAAGTTTTTTGATTTGAGGATTTTTGCTACTGGTATCAGAAGAATTATGGCCAAAGAATGTAGGGGAAAACCAGCTTGCAGCCATAGGGCTATGCCTGGCAGTGTTCAGTACAATTTGCTCTTCCTGCCAGTCTAAAAGTTTGAGCCTCTTCCTCACTAAAGAAGTGTCAGTTTGCTGTAACTTATGATTAAACTAATACCTGCCCAACTCAGTTTAAGCTGATTGCTATTGGCATGAGAAAATCATGTTATTTTAGCTACAATTAATTTGATTCCAGAGGATTTTTTCTGAAATGATGCAGAAAGTTCAAACTAAGCAGGAGTTGAATTAACAGGAAGAAGCTATGTAGTAAGTTCATTAAAATTCATGGTGAATATTAAATAATTACTTTGAATGAAAAGCATCTTAAGAAATATATATCCCCTATGGATGTTTCTTCTCAGAATACTTGTTCCCAAAGAATAATGCAGATAAAATATTAGCAAGATTCACTTCTGTAATATATAAGAATATATAAAGAGACTCCAACAATAGCTTCATCCAGTCAGCTCCTGTGAGGCCACACAATGGATTTTAGGTGAGTCTACAACAAATGCGCATATCTTTTAGCAATAATGGTATCCCAAAGGGTAAGGCAAACTGTACAGCACGATCAAAACAAAACTATTTCAGCGACCACAGTCAAGTCTGCCCCATCCTTGGGGCTCTCTCATGGAATTCACAAAGCCCCTGAAATTAGTCATTCACGTCTCTCAACACACAGCAACATAGATACGGAGCCATAAAGTAAGAAGAAAAACACAGTCAGAATCTGAATTGATAACTCTCCTCCTTATATTTTCAGTGACTTGAATTTTTTCCATATAAATCAACTGGAAAACTTTCACGGCTTCACAAGATGCTTTCTCTCTGGTTGCTCATATTAGGTCTATTAACCTCCTTGAGAAGCACATTATTCTCTGAAAAGCTATAGCAAGAGCCTTGAAATCATCAGCCCTACTTAGCTGTGACAGTGTTGAAACCCTTTAATAGCAACAGGTTCCACTTCCCTACTTCCCTTTCTATAGGTATATGGAGAAAACTTCCAGAGAAAAGAAGGAAAAGTTTTACCTAACTCTACCCATTGTTAAGCATGCTCCCTTTGGACCAGCATCCAAACAAGCCACGCTTGATGGAGTGGACGTGCAACAGCTCACTGTCTTAAATATCTACTACACAGGCTATCTTACCAACAGGCCCTTGCCTATATTAAATTACTCATGCAAAAGGCAGGGTCCATATCTTCTGCACCATTCACATTGCACTTAGGCTTCATGGGTTATTTCTCCCCTTGCATATTGTAAGATTAAGGAGCCTGAAAAGAACCTTATCTGAAAACTCTGTCAACCCTCATTAGCACCAGACATGGTTTTATATCTAGGGGTTGCTTCATAAAGACCTAAATAGATGAATAAATTAAAACCTGAAGTTTAATATAACTTAACAGCATCATCATTTTTTCCTGTGTACTCACTTTTATAACTATACCTACTGATGAGAACTACCTTCAACCAACAAGCTGAATGTTTACTATCTTCCCATTGCCAACACACAGTGTCAGAGCTGCTTAGAGAGATGTATTCAACAATGATACATCATGCTACACTGTAATTAGTCTAGTGAACGTACAGGGAATACTCATGCACTCTATTCTACTCCCTCTGTCCCAGTAACTATAATTATGCAGTCTGAAAGGAAAAAATATGTTGGAAATATTTCCAAAGACCCCAAGGGTACGATAATTAGAGGACTAAGAAAGGAAAGTGAGCCTGATCGTGCTTCAGTCCACTGGGACCTAGCATAGCTGATGTGAACTGGAGAAATAAGATTTTGGAAATGAAAGCTTCTTACTCCTTATGATCTGACACAATCTGACAATGACATTAATTAAAAGCTGAAAATATCATTCATTTTTCTATAGCTGAATTTAGTAGGCAAGGCAGGAGAAAAAGGAGAGGCCTGAGGGTAAGGAGCTAGAAATGGCATTCCAATTCTTCTAACAGATTTGGGACACTCTCCCACTACTGAGGAGGTTAAATTGCTCTAGAGCAGACCTCCTGTGTGTCCTTCACCACTTTCTCCTGTCCCTGCAAGGAAGGAGAAGGCCAGCAGGAGAGGAGTGTTTGCGCAGTGAGGAGCTGGGAGAGCCAGAATAGCAGATAGGGCAAGAGCTGGGGGTAGCCAGATCCAGGACGAGGCAGGAGATAGCTGGCCAAGACAGGGAAGGCTCTGGAAGGAAGTGATGGATCATCGAAGGTCACAGCAAGGTCAAGAATAGAACACTTAACCTTGCTCTGACCTGAAAGGATGAGTTATAGCTCACAGGCCATGAGAGCCAGCCAGCTCAATAAGAGAATGGAATAAATGCTCAAACAGAATGCTGGGAGCCTAGAGCTCTGTAGGAAGGAGGGAGAGGGGCAAAGTAAACAAAATAACAGATTGGCACAATGGTAGCATGGAAGGAACTTGATAACTAAGACACTCTGGCCTAGACCCAGAATATCTATGATTCTAGACCCAGAATAATATCTGTAGTAATATATATAATTCTAGCAGAGTATCTATGATTCCTTTTGAGGTAAGAACTAAACTGGCAAAGTGTATGTAAGGGCTTTGCAGATGTAACATGATTTTGGAAGTACTTGTCTGTAATGAAGTGCATGTGGGTGGGCAGAAACAACACCTTTTGGAAAGCAAATCCTAATACTTGCTTTTCTCTCTTTTCTTCTTCAGCCCTCCCTCAAGTAAACATGGAGAGAGTGGAAGAGAAGAGGGCAGAAATAGAGAGCAAAACAACAGGGAGACTTATTTCAGTTCCATTTCTCTCCCCATGCTAAGCGCTATTTTGTATAAGCATTTCCCAGTGACTTTAAGCAACGGAGACTTTCTGTGCCTGAATCTTCATTAGTCACGTTGCTGAAAACTGGACAAAAGGTTTCTTTGCTTTGTAACATTTTCTAAGCATCCAAGATTCATGATGGTGATGGCCACAGTGACACAGATACGCAGAGAATTCGCCTAACATTTTAGCATTTCATGAATAATCAGTTTCCAATTCCTGCATTTTTACTCTAATATTAGTTGATTTGAATAACATTGAGTTATTTACCATGTAATTTTCCTGCTGGTTCAAAATAATGCAATTTTGAAAATGCTATTAGCCTGTTTAATGCAGTAAGATCAATGAGGAGATGTGACCTCTTATTTTCTCATTATAAAACAAAATGCAAGGGAAAGAATTTTCTATCCTGGGAAAGATCGATTTTCTACTTTCTCAGTTTGTAAAATATTGGCTTTCACAGTGCAATCAATGTCACTGACTCAATGTGGATGAAGCAAATAATATAAAATATAAATCTGTTCATTTTCATTAAGCCACAGTTTCCATTAGTCTTGCCCTTGGTGTTATTCTTATAAAGGCTTAAGTATGCAAATACCACAACAAAAGACTGATCACTGGATGATAAATATTAGCCAATAAATTTTAATATTACCCTAAGTAAGGAAACAAAAGTGAGCATATATGCAAAGATCAGTGACATGCTGCAACTCTTTAAATTATTTTTCCAGTAAAGAACTCTGAAATTTTGTAATAGGGGTAAGAAGGTAATCTACAACACCAAATAGATTTTATATACTCATATGGATGGAAGGAACCTGGAAAAGTTATCTACACCTTCCTTGTTTCCAGATAAGATTATGTAAGTCTTATGTAACAGAAAGAAAAGCTATTTTTGCTAACTGTTAAGAGTTCTGGCAAAAGCAAATATTGTAAGCCCCTCTTCATCAGCCTCTAAGATGGTCAATGATCTTCACATCCCTGTGTGGGCCTCTCCCATAGTCAATGAAGTCGATATGTGTAAACAATAGGACATGACAGAAATGTCTGTGAGATTTCCAAGGCTAGGTCACAAAAGGCATTGCTACTTCTGTCCTCATCTCTTTTGAATCACTTGCTCTGGGGAAAGCCAAATGACACGTCTTGAGGAAACCCAAGCAGTCCTATGAAGAGGCTCATGTGGTAAGGAACTGGGGCCTCCTGCCAACAGCCATGTGAATGCACCAACTTGGAAGTGGATCCTCCAGCCCCACTCATGCCTTCAGGTGGCCACAGCTCTGGCCAACATCTTGATGCAACCTTATGAGACACCTTGACCCAGAAATACCCAGCTAAGCTGTTCCTAAATTCCTGATCTACAGAAATTATGAGATAATAACTGTTGCTTTAAGCTGCTATGTGTTGAGGTCTACTACTTAGACACTTTGCATAGACTCTTACTTCTTTCATCTTCAGAATGAAAATGATAAAATTTACCTTTTAGAGCTGTCGTATTAAATGAGATATATAAAAAGTGCCAAACACTGCCTCACTCATTACAGGTGTTAAATAACTATAATATCACAAAGCATTATTATTTGTGAGCTTTATTTTGCTGATCATCATGAAACTATAAATTAGTGAGACTTATTTCTAAGTCATAAAAGGCATCACAGTAGTTACTGAGCAACCACAAAATAATGTTTTCTCAGTGTCAGATTTTACTTACCCTTCCTTTAAGAAAACAAATTTTAAAAAATCATGTAAACTTTAAGCTCTTTTAACTCTTCAAAGTAAATCTCCTTTTTATTCTCTGACTTTCTAAGAAATATAAAGAACACCAAAACCTAAACAATTAATAGTTCTTAAAATAATTTTATCAGCTTAACTTCTTTCCATCAGTAAAATTAATGAAATCAGAAAATGTAGCTCCTTGACTGTCCAACCGTGATTTTTCCCTGATAAGTAGCTGTTGGAAACACCATAAAAGCCACAGTCAAGGCACATCAGTCACTAACACTGAGGGCTAGGCCTATGGGATGGCAATGAGGACTCAAGGATGGTAGCATTTACCTTTAGCCTATGGGATGACCTTAACCAGATCATTCGAAGGCCTTGGTCTGTTCCCAGTTGGACATTAGAAACTTCCAGCAACACTTATGTCCAGAGTACGCTCTTCTGGTTTCCCTGCTACTGCTTTGGCTATTTCTCAGTATTTTTTGCTGGCTTCTCTTCCTTCTTCAGGCCCCAGTCTTGACCCTTCTCATGCTATCCTCTTCTCTAGACTATTTTAGGTGAAATTTTAATAACTTTCATGTGTATTGTTCCACTTTACCTCTTATCTGAGCTATAGACCCAAATATCCATAAGCCAACCAGATATCCATATGCCCACTTGACTTCTTTACTTTGGACTCTCACAATCATCTTGGACTTAACATGTCCAACCTAAGCATTTGACCTTTCCCAAAACTCTTCCTCCTCCAATATTATCCATCTCAGAAAATGATACCTCCATCCCCCTGGTTGCTCATGTTAGAAACATGGGAATCCTTGCCACCTTCTTATCACTTGGCCCCACATCCAATGCAATATTTAGTCCTGTCAACTCTACCTACAGAATAAATGCATAATGCAGCTGCTTCTCTCCATCCCCACTAGCACCACTCTGGCCTGTCACCCTCACCTCCACTGCTGCAGCTCCTCGCTGGTCTCCCCACACTGCTCCTCCAGCCCATCTAACACATTCTCCACACCACAACCAGACCAACAATTTTAACAGCAGTTAGGAACATCACTCCCCTTCTTGAAACTTCCATTGCCTTCCCATTGTTTGTAAAGGGAAAAACCAAAAGTCTAGCCTGCCCACCGCTAGACTGTGAGAATTAGGAAAGCTGTCCCTTCCTGCTCCTTACAATAGATGACAAGTCTATGACTTTGAATGTGAATGGTGCCCCCTAGAGTACTGCTATCCTACGGACAAGGGAGAGTAGCAGCCCCATGGGCCTTCACTTGAATCCCTAAAACTTCAAAGTTCTCCTCTGCCTGGGTGGCTGATATGGTTTGGATGCATGTCCTCTCCAAATCTCATGTTGAAATGTGGCCTCCATTGTTAGAAGTGGGGCCTAGTAGGAGATGTTTGAGTCATGGGGGTGGATCCCTTATGAATGGCCCGGTGCCATCCCCATGGTAATGAATGAGTTCTCACTCTGGTGGTTCACACAAGAATTGGTTGTTTAAAAGAGCCTGGCACTTCCTTCTCTCCCTCTTGCTCTGTGTCTCGCCATGTGACATGCTGTCTGGCTCCCCTTCGCCTTCTGCCATGACTGCAAGCTTCCTGAGGCCAGAAGCAGATGCTGGCACAATGCTTCATGTATAGCCTGCAGAACTGTGAGCCAAATAAACCTCTTTTCTTTTTAAATTACCTAGTCTGAGGTAGTATTTTATAGTAATGCAAACTGAGTAACAAAGGAGGCTTCCCAGACCCCCAAACAACCGTTCCTTCTGCCCTCTACCTCATCCTCACTAAGTTTACCTCACTTTTTAGGTCTTCTTCCAAGAAACCCTCCCTCACCACCAGAACCACCAATGCACATCAGGCCTGCCTGGCTTCAGTTCTCATCATACTGATTATTTCTTGTTTGTAGCAATTATTATATTGAGGATTAGTCAACTATCTCTGCCAATCTCCACTAAACTGTAAGTTTTATGAAGGTAGGGATCTCATCAGATATTTTTACCACTATAGCCCCAATGCCTAGAACAGTATCTGGTAACCATGAACACTAAATATGTATTTGTTAACTGGAAAAAAATGAAAAAGCAAATGAACATTGGGAAGCATATTTCCACTAGCTCCATGCTTACTAGTTATGTAGGATCCTAGTTGGATTCCAAGTTTGAGGGGAACCCAGAAACAAGATGCTGAGCTACATATCCACAAGCTCAACATTTTATCCCTCTACCCCTCTGCTTTTTCACAATGAAAACAGTTTTAGTTTCTTCCTGATTTTTTTTTAAACTAATACATGTTTACTGTTACAATGGTTCAGGCTGGATGTGGTGGCTCATGCCTGTAATCCCAGCACTTTGGGAGGCCAAAGTGGGAGGACTACTTGAGTCCAGGAATTTGAGACCAGCCTAGGCAACACAGGGAGACCCTGTCCCTATAAAAAATAAAGAAAAATTATCCAGGCTTGGTGGCACATGCCTATAGTCCCAGCTACTTGGGAGGCTGAGATACGAGGATCACTTGAGACCAGGAGGCCAGGGCCTCAGTGAGCCACGATCACTGCACTCCAGTCTGGGCAACAGAGTAAGAGTCTGTTTCAAAAAAAGAAAAAAGGTTTAGAGAAGTATAGGAAGAAAGAAAAATTACCTGAAATCCCACCATCTTAAGAAAAGCATGGTAAATATTCTGGTCTTCACTTTTTCATACATGTCTCTGTGAATATATACACTTATATACTTAATTTTATGTAAGTGGCCTATCATTTACACATGCTGTTCTTTGTGGATACCATCTTCTTATATATATAATGTGAATATACCTTTCTCCATTATCATTATTTCATCATATATAAACATTTACATTGTATTTACAGACATATGGTATTATTATTTTGTAAAAATATAATTTTATTTTATATATATGCATTACATAATGGGAAAAATCTCCCTATTCCACAGTGTGAATATATTACAATTTATTCAGCCTTTGTCCTACAAATGGGCACTCGCCTTGTTCATGGGTTTTTGCCATTATAAACAAAAAAAATTGTATATAAATATGCTTATTTTCTGGTGTTTTTATATCTGTGATATTGATTTCTCATTTCCGCCAGCAATATTTGTAGAGCCTTTTCCCCAAAAATTCCTGCCTGCAGCAGGTGCTATCACATCTCACTGATTTTTGCCAATCAGTGGATGAGAAGCTTGGTGGAGACCCAGAAGGAGTAGTCCTGTGCCCAGTACCCAGTGCTTCATGGATGAGGCATCATTTTTATGGCATATGCTTTTCCAAATGCATTACTATAACATTTCTGAAAAGTAATCCAGCTGGTTCAGGGTTGGATGGTTCTCTGAGTCCACCATAAGTGCAGCAACAGGTCTAAGTGAGTCAAGCAGATCCTCTTACCTCAGAGCCCTGTCTCTCACATCACATTCACTGCCGTTATGGGGGAAGAACCCCTAAGAGGGTGTGAGCACGCACTGCTCTGGGATGCCTATTTCATAGCATGCAGGATGAGAAGGACAGTGTGCCAGGAGAGGGAAACAAAAGCAAGCTTATGCCTCAGAGGAAAGCTTCAATCCACAACAAATAACTCCCCAGGATTGTGCTGAAATTCTTATCCGAGAGACATGCCATCTGGGCAAGCTGGAGCAGGGCAGCAGATGAGGGAATTGACAGTGAAGGCTAGAAGTAGAAATGGAAAGTCACTTCTAGAAAAACCCATTCACAACTCAGCAAAGCACACTGAAAAGGGGTCCACTTCTGGAACAAGGTTGAGAGATTTCCAACTGGAGTAAAGACAGGACCCCAGGGGTGCTTAAAAGTCACAGAAAACCTCAGGAAAGGGGGACCACTGAGAAATATGGATAGCTGAGTAGAAGGTCCTCCCCACCTACAGGGGGCTCCTGCATGTTGTGCAGTGTGCAGGGCACAGCAAGGTGACCATTGCAGAGCTGGGCAAAGCCACAATGCCCCTAGCAACTGTGAACACACATTAGCTATTCTTTCCTCTACATTAATGTAACCTTTTCAAATGCCATTTGCTTGAAACCCATCTTTTTGATTATTTTAAATTCATACAGCACACATCAGCTCCTATGATTAAAATCCAACCTGCTCATTGAAGCTGCTTCTTCAGCTCTTGCCTGGAGTAAACAGAAGCCAGAGGGGGCCTGAAAACAGTCCCAAAGATGCCATCAGAGTCAGCCTCCAAGGAAGAACCCTGACCACTGACACAGTGTATCCTAATGAAATGGGGAAAAATGCAAAAAACTTTCCACCACTGCTTGGCAGAATAACAATAATAATAATATGATCAAGTATTAAAAGGTATGAAGATATAAGCATCCTTATATGTTTTGGGTGGTGTCCACTGAAGAATGACGAGGTTCATACATTTGCAAAGGGGAGCTTTATTTCTCACAAAGGGTTGAAGCCTTCAGGGTGCCATTTTGACAGGCTGGAGGCTATGCTAAAAACAGATACTTCAAGGGAGGGGAAAAAAGGAACAGGAATTTATGCTAAACAATGTGCTCAAATATACATATTCAACAAGCTATAGGAGGAGCATGAATATATATGAAAGGAGAAATGTACGCACATGCAGTTGAGCTTCATGCCCTTTCATGGGTCTCATGTGACAAAAATAGCAGCATTAGCATGATCTAAGGGTGGAGTTTTCAGCCCTCTGCTGTCAAAAGGTGAAGCAGAGTACATGTAGGGCTTTACTGTGCCCTCTCCAGACTGGCCAGAGCCACTCCATGGTCAGTGGTCTCTTATCAGGCAAAAAAGGAGGGGCGGCATGAGGTTGTTAGTTGATATCAGTGTGGAGTCTTTTGAAAGAGTTAGTTTCTGTTGAACCCTTAGAGAAGAAAGTCTAATAGAAGTTAATGAAGGAGAGGGCATAAGGAAGCATGCCCCATCTTCTTCTATCCCACTGTGGCCAAGAACTCAGTTTTCAAGGTTACTCTGGGGTCCCCTTGGCCAAAGAAGGTCCATTCAGTCAGTTGGGGAGCTTAGAATTTTATTTTTATTTTACAGTGGACAGGTAGATTGCTACAGATATCTGAAAGGTAGGTTGGCAGTATCTATTAGATTGGTGCAATTGTGGTTTTTGTCATTACTTTTAATGGAAAAAAACACAATCACTTTTGCACCAATCTAATATTAAATGCATGTACCTTGCACAATCCTACTTTTGTAAAACTATCCTACAAATAAAAGAATCAATGTATAAAGTTGTGTGTTCAAATGTGTTTGTTGAAGGGTTGTTGACAGTGACTCTCAAATGAAAACAATCTGAATGTCCATCATTAGGATAAATTGTGGCATGTCCCTATGGGTACACAGAGAAATATGTGGAAGGCTACATCCTAGGCTGTCAACATGGATTATCTCAACTGAAGTGGTATTGGGAGATGGTATAATAAATGTGTGACTTAATTTGTTTATGAAATAGACAACTTTCCACCCCTAGCTAGCCTGGTGGTGAAAATGTCATCTTTAGGGATTAATTTTTCTATTTCTAAAAGTCTGTTGTTAAAATACAAATATTCCTGAAGTTGTTTTTCAGCCCTTAATACCCAGAGGTGGGAGAGAAAATGCTGTGGTTGCTTTCCAGCCCCGACAGCAAGCTGACAGAACCATCTTAACTAGGACAGGTAGGTGTCTGTGTGGGAAAGGCAGGAGGAAAGGCCTCCGGCTCATGGCCTGACTGACATGCATCTCGTTGACACTAACATGTTGTCTAGGAAGGAGAACCAAAAGAGAGGAAAAGACACTGCGTGGAGGGGCTGATGGGGCACATACATTGACTGCTGCCTGAGGCCAGTGCTACTTAGGATGCTGCTCAGGTTTCCTTCCTGGTTCTTTGGGGATTAGCACAAGCACTGAGTTGGCCCTCTGCCAGCTGGAGGGGCCGCCAACAGGGATTGCCAAGGGGTCAAAGAATCAGCATCACTGGCTGAGAGAGCAGCTTTACCAGCAGAGATCAAAGGTGCCAGACGTGGTTTCTTTTGATTCACTCAGGGAGCAGGACAAGTAATCAGAAAAGTGTGATTTTCCTCTGCTCCAATAAAATAAAAAAACCTGCCGTTGTTATAAAGCACCAAGAGAATCAATAAGAGTTTCAGGAGACATTGGCACACCTCACAGGCAAAGCCCTGGAAACAAACTACTGCTTTCACCACAGTGTGAACTTCAGGGCAGAGGCTCTTTGGCTTGGATGAGTTTACAGTACAGCAAAACTGTCCTCCCCGTCACAGTGTATGTGGAACGGTATGTCCATGCTGGAGTAGCTGGAATGTAAGTAGATTTAGTGTGCTAACATTAGAAAGAATGATACTACTAGCCAGAATTTAGTGAATACTTATTGTCTAAGTATGCGTATCATGTGATATTTGCAAGAACTCAATGAGTTAGGTACTATTCTATCCCATTTTAAAAATAAGGAAATTGAGGCACTGAAAGGTTAATTACCCAAAGTTCTAGAAATAAGAAGCAGTGGAGCTGGCATTCAGACAGAAGCAGTTGAACTCCAGAGCCTGGGATGTGATCACTACGTCACACTGCCTTCTCATGAAGAGACAACACCTCACAACGCAACCCCCAACACTGAGAACAAAGACCAAAGATGTGTCGCTGGAAAAGCCACTTGGACTCGGGCATCAGAATGGATCAGGGAAAGAACTTGGTGAGAGTAAGAAAGCCATGAGGTCACAAAGAATGCCAAAGTTCCATGGGGGCAATGTGTGCGCAGGACACAAGGAGCTCACAATGCTCTGAGGTCAAATCTAGGAAAGCCCTGTAGAGTGAGGTTGCAGGATCTACAGGGAAAAGTGAGTCATCTCAGGAACAAAGGGTGGGCTTGGGGACACATCCAGAAAGGACTTGAGACCATTAGTTGCTTAACAGACTATGGTTTAAAATTAAAGTAGAAACAGCTAAACCATATCTATATGATCTAATTTGTTTTTGACTACTTTCTCTGTTATAAACACTTATGTTTATTGATTTCACTTTATTGGTATTGTTCCCACCCACCTGAACGCCTGGTTATCTGTCTTTACAGTTCCAATCTGAAGATTTTAAATCGCAACCTCAAGGCCAACATTCACCCATTCCTCAGTCCCTGTCTCTCCTTTCCAAGCTGGGAAATTGGAGGAAGCCTGTCCCAAACAGGACAGCCTCTGCCTCTGAGTTGGCATGAGTACAACAGTTTTTTTCTCTAAGTTGTTCTACTACCTAAAGCTGCGAGGTTCACACAAGGATGGGTGATATGTGTTAATTGGAAAGTATATTTTATCTTCTCTGTCTAGAACAACTCAAATAACTTTGTATATTCTTAATACCAGTACTGTTATAATTATATAATTTAATTTATATAAATATATATATACACATTCCCAACCAGTTAGCTAAATAAATCTGTGACTAATTCACAGAATTCAAATCACCGTGTGTATTCTGCATCATAAGACAACTAGTATGAAGAAAATCCTAAGGTAGTGCTAAGAACATATTATCAGCATTTGTTCATTTTTCTGACTTAATTAAGAGTTACAAACTACTACTCTTTGATACTGAACAATCAATGAGCTGTGTATAAGAGAATAACAAAAATAGTTTACTTATTCAACAAACATTTATTAATTTATTAGACTGCAAGGCTCTGAGCTAAGTACCAGGTTTACAAAAATAAACAAGACAAAATCTCAAGGAGTTGACAAACGAGTTTGACATATAGATAGATAAGTATTTACTAAACAAATGATGGAGGAATATATGGGAAGAGGAAGGAGGACCCAATGGGCTGGAGTGGGAGGTGGAACACCACAAGAGGATACACTTGATCTGAGTCTTGGCTGGAAGACCAGGCAGACAAAAGAGAGAGACAGGACTGGAAGAGGGAGCACCCTGGGCATGCAGGCAAGTTGCACAGCATGGATATGGCAATAGCAAGGAGTTTAGTGAGGCCAGAGGCTAGAATCACTTTGAAGAAAAAAGTGAGAGTCAGCAGATGAGTTGCCAATTAAAGTGACTCTACTCTGTGTGCTAAATGTTAATAGCTGCAGCTATGCAAAATAGAAAAAGCAAAAATGTTCACAAATGACATGAGATTTCAACTTTAATGCTCTATTTTCTTAATTCTAAAATATCTCATTGATTTAAATAATACTTGATTGTAAAACATAACCCAATTTAAGAAATGTTAGAATATGAAAGGATGAAGGAAATAAGTCAATAACAACTGCTAGAAGGCCTCATCCAAGAGAATATAAACAGAGACTCTCACACAAAAGTGGACTTCTGCTTTGCCCCAGAGTCAATGTCAGTATAAGCAAAAGCCTCCACTACATTCCATGTTTAGTTTTCAAGCACTTCAAGATCAAAGAGCATTATCTTTGAACGTTTTAAATTGATTAAGCTAATTTAGAGTCATTAAAAATGGAAACAGTTCTTTTTAGCTTAAGGTTGGAACGGGGGAACCTTTTGGAGACCACTGAAGCATGTGTTAACTTGGTTTTTAGGTACTTGAGCAAACAATGGAAATTTGGAGTTGCCTTGGTTTCTATGACTGCCAAACCTCAGCAGATAAAGAATCTTCTGCCAACCTCTCTGCATCTCCTACATTGGTTCCTCTTTCGTGTCTGTTTCCTCAAAAGATGTTCCTATCCCTAACTTTCTTTTCTTCTCACACTACACAGTCTCCCCAGGTAATCTCAGCCACATCACAGCTTCAGCTAAATTGACCTGGTATTGATGCCTACATGTGTCTGTCCAGCCCAGACCTCTCTCCTTAATTTCAAACTCATGTCAAACAACCCATTTCCCCATGGATGCCTCACAGACACCTCAAAGTCAACATGGTTAAAACTAAATCCATTGTTGGTTTCCTACCTGCCCCCAAATGTTCCTGCTCCAGGGCTCTCTATGTCCATAAAATGTACCTCCTTCCACTCAATGGCCCAAACCAGATATCTAGGATTTTCTCAAGCTACTTTTGCTCTTAAACCCTCACATCCAACAAAATACTGTAGATTTGATTATCTCCCCTAAAATCCTTCAATCTGTAAACTCTTCTCTGCCCTACCACCACAGCCCTGGTTTCAAACCTCGTAATTTCTTGATTGCATCCCTCCAGTGGCCCAATATCTCTCAGCCACTAGTCCTCTGTCTCCTCCTTCCATCAGCCCTCCGTATCCTCCACTGGCTCCTCAGAATGTTTCCTAAAATACAGAATTGATCAGGAAGCCTGACTTTATATCCGTCATTGACTTCCCTTATCACTCTCAGTATTTTATCCCAAATCCCTGGTGCATGGTATACAAGGCTCTTCATGAACTGTCCCAGAATTGGTCCTGCTCCCTCTAATATCACACACATGTGCATGCACACACACACACACACACACACACACACACACCATGTTCCAGTGCAATGAAGGGGGCAAAGGATCTGAACAGACATTTCTCCAAAGAAGACATACAAATGGCCAATAAGCACATGAAAAGAAGCTCAGCATCATTAGCCATTAGATAAATGCAAATCAAAACCACAATGATAAACCACTTCACACCTACTAGGATAGCTATAATCAAAAAGACAGATAATAACAAGTGCTGGTGAGCATGTAGAGAAATTGGAACCCTCATAGACTGCTGGTGGGAATGCAAAATGGGGCAGCCGCTTTAGGAAACATTCTGACAGTTCCTCAAAAGGTTAAACATAGAGTTCCCATGTGATTCAGTATATTTGTTTCCAATTGCTGCTGTAACAAATTACCGCAAACTTGCTGATTAAAACAACACAAAATTATTATATTACAGTTCTGGTGGTCAAAAGTCCAAAGTGATTCTCCAAAGGCTATAATCAAGGTCTCAGCAGGTCTATGTTCCTTCCGGGGGTTCTAGGGGAAAATCCATTTTCTTGTTTCTTCCAGCTTCTAGAGCAAGGGTGTCCAATATTTTCACTTCCCTGGGCCAGACTGGAAGAAAAATTGTCTTGGGCCACACATAAAACATGCTAACGCTAATGATAGCTGATGAGCTAAACACACACACACACACACACACACACACACACACAAATCTTATAATGTCTTAAGAAAGTTTACAAATTTGTGTTGGGCTACATTCAAAGCCATCCTTGGCTACGTGCAGCTCAGGGGCCACAGGTTGGGCAAACTTGTTTTAGAGGGTGTCCCTGTTCCTTGACTTGTGGTTCCTTCCATCTTCAAAGCCAAAATGGCTGGTCAAGTATTAATCACAGTGCATGACTCTGGCACTTTCTGCCTCCATCTTCTATCTTTTAAGGACACTTTGGATTACACTAAGGGCACACTCAGATGATCTAGAATAATCTCTGTATTTTAAGGTGAGTTGATTAGCAGCTTAATTTCATCTGCACACTTAACTTCATGTCCATTTACCATGAGACTTAACATATTCATGGGTTCCAAGGACTAGGGAATGAACATCTTTGGGAGAGAGTGGGGTTGGGAGCATTATTCTGCTGCCTCCCACACATACGGCAATTCCACTCCCAAGTATACATATCCAAGAAAAAGGAAAACATGTCCACATAGAAACTTGTACAAAAATGTTCATAGCAGCCCTCTTCATAATAGCCAAAGAGCAGAAACAACTCAAATGTTCATCAAGAGATGAATGGACAAAGAAAATATGGTATAATCATACAATGAAATATTAAAAGGAATAAAAAAGAATGATGTGCTGATACATACTACAACATGGATGAACCTCAAAAACATCATGCTAAATAAAGAAGTCAGTAACAAAAGGCCACATATTGTACAATTCCATTTGTATATGTCCAGGATAGACAAATCCTTAGAAACAGAGAGTAGATTCATGATTGCTTAGGGCTGAGGGCGAAGGGAACTTGGGGGGACATGTGGATACTAATGAGAAGACAGTATCTTTCTGGAGTTATGAAAACATCTGAAAATGATTTTAGTAATGGTTACACAACTTTGTAAATATGCTAAAAACCAGTGAATCATACAACAAACAGCAGTGATTTGTATGGTAAGTGAATTACATGTCAATAAAGCTGTTATTCCTAAAAAATGAGTCAGTACATTACTGAAGATATGAGCACAAAACTGAGGAAAGTCCTAATATTTATTTAATTACACTTCCCTTAAAGGTTGCTTTTAGTGACTGTTTTGCTGGGATTGCGGTCTCCCAATTAAGTCAAAGAATAAAGACAGCTGGCGCAGAAATGAGTCTGGCACCTCAGACAGTGGCCCCAATTTCATGCACTAGAGGAAGCCGACATTGCTCCCCTATTGAGATGTGCCTCCTGCTCCCCAGGAAGCCATGAAACAGGGCAGCAATTAAACACATGAAGTGTTCTGCTTTGATGACATTCTTTTTCTTTCTCACACACATGTACACACAGAGAGAAAGTCCATTTTCTATTAATTCTCCGCAGATATTATAAGTGCATTCTATGTTTCCTCCTTTCACAGTTCAGTAGTTTATTCATTTTGCTAAGAGCAAGCTTGTTGTAGTCCCTAATAACAAATCACAGGCAAAATTAGAACCCAAACCTAGCACAGACAAATCTCTTACGAAGAAAAAGAATCCAGCTCTGAATATTTCCAATTTAAAAAGTTTTAAACCCACTGATTGACAAAAGCTATAAAATTAATGTGAATTAAAAATATTATATTCCATGAAGATTTATTATGAGAAAGAAGCCAATCAATTATTTTCCATTTTCAGAGAGTTGGAAAAGAGAAAACAGAACAGATTACATCAGAGATACTTTTTTAAAACTAAAAAGGAATATTTTAAGGATGAGCAAGCCCTATAATAAGCTTCCAAGAAGGGTTATGAAATCTCCCTAGAGTCATTATACCACTTAAGATTAGGTTTGGGTAAAGATTTGGAAGCAACCTAAGTGTCCACTAACAGATGAATGATAAAGAAAATGTGATACATATACACAATGGAATACTATTTAGCCATTAAAAAAGAAGGAGATCCTATCATTTGCAACAACATGTATGGGACTGGAAGTCATTATGTTAAGTGAAGTAATCCAAGCACAGAAAAACAAACTTCACATGTTCTCACTTTTTTGTGGGAGCTAAAAACTAAAACAATTGAACGCATGGAGATAGAGAGTAGAATGATGGTTAGCAGAGGCTGGTTAGGGCAGTGGTGGGCTGAGGAAAAGTGGGGATAATTAATGGGGTCAAAAATAGAATGAATAAGATCTAGTAACTGATAGACAATGGGTGATTATAGTCAATAATTTATTGTACATTTTAAAAAACAAAAACAGTAATATTGGAATGTTTGTAACACAAAGGATACCGGCTTGAGGTAATGTATACCTCTTACCCTAATGTGACTATTACACATTGTATGCCTATATCAAAATATCTTTTTTTTTATTTTGAGACAGAGTTTCGCTCTTGTTGCCCAGGCTAGAGTGCAATGGTGCAATCTCAGCTCACCACAACCTCTGCCTCCTGGGTTCAAGCAATTCTCCTGCTTCAGCCTCCCGAGTAGCTGGGATTACAGGCATGTGCCACCATGCCCGGTTAATTTTTGTATTTTTTTAGTAGAGATGGGGTTTCTCCATGTTGGTCAGGCTGGTCTCGAACTCCTGACCTCAGATGATCCACCGGCTCGGCCTCCCAAGGTTCTGGGATTACAGGAATGAGCCACTGTGCCCGGCCAAAATATCTTGTACCCCATAAATATATATACCTACTATGTACTCACAAAAAATAAAAATTAAAAATTTTATTAAAAAACAAAAAGCAAAAGATTCAATTTTGCTAAATATAAAATAACAGCTTAAGGAAGACAAAGAAGTTTTTCTGTCTCATATAAAAATCCAAGAGATAGTCCAGGACTGATTATAGGAGCTCTGCCCCAAAAAATTCTCAGCATCTTTATAGCTCATTATTCCACCATCCCGAATACTGGGCCCCCATTCTCAGAGTCTAAGGTGGAAGCTAGAGCTCCAGCAAAATATCTGTATTTCAGGAATTAGGGTGGAAAAGGGATGAAGAAGCTGGAGAAAGGGCAGTGAGTATCACCTGTCTTTAAGGAAAACTGCAGGAAACTCTTATGTGACACTTTGCATCAGTCATGTGACCATACTGGTTGCCATGGAGCCTGTCTTTATTCTGGAAAACAATGTGTCCATCTAAAAACAGAGTTTCAGGCCTGACATGGTGGCTCATGCCTGTAATCCCCAGCATTCTGGGAGGCCCAGGAGGGCAGATCACTTGAGGCCAGGAGTTCGATAATAGCCTGGTCAACATGGCAAAACCCAGTCTCTAATAAAAATACAAAAATTATCCAGGCATGGTGGCACATGCCTGTAATCCCAGCTACTCAGGAGGCTGAGGCACAAGAATTGCTTAAACCTGGGAGGCAGAGGTGGCAGTGAGCCAAGATCGTGCCACTGCACTCTAGCCTGGGCAACAGAGTGAGACCTGTCTCAAAACAAACAAACAAATATATAAGTAAATATAAAAAGAGTGTTTCTATTGTTCTGGAAAGAGTGGAAAGGATACTGGAAAACATACCAGGGTCTTGGCCACTGTCATCAACACTGATATTGTTTGTCAGTCTGTCTTCTCCAAATCTCATGCTGAAATGTGATTCCCATTGTTGGAAGTGGGACCTTGTAGGAGGTGTTTGGGTCATGGGGGCAGATCTCTCATAAATGGCTTGGTACCTTCCCCTGAGTTCATATGATATCTGGTTGCTTAAAAGAGCCTAGCACCTCTGCCTCTCTCTCCTGCTTCCTCTCTCACCATGTGACATGCCTGCTCCTTCTTTGTCTTCCTGCATGAGTGGAAGCTTCCTGCCACCCTCCCCAGAAGCAGATGTTGGCACCATGCTTCTTGTACAGCCTGCAGAACCATGAGCCAAATAATCTCTTTTCTTTATAAATTACCCAGTCTCAGGTATTCCTTTATAGCAACATAAATGGACCAACACAAACACCCACCTCCTTAATTTAGGCAGACTCTTCAGAAGGCACTTCTTTTTTATAAAATTTATAAAGAGACTGAGAGAGACTTCTAGGGGGACAGGGCTATAAAGTTCACATAAATTTGTTCTAAGAGAAGGAGAAAGGGAAAACCCTTTACTCTGGGTCCCCTTTAGTTTGTTAACCAACAAAATTAGTTCTGGAAATGTCCTTGTTCTTTGAGTCAAAAACAGTACTTGGCACATGGAGATGCTTACTAAATGTTTGTCAGTGAGCAACTGGATTCATGGCAAATAACAATAATGCAGTGTTACATTCAACTACATCAATGTGTTCTAGATATTTTTCTGATCCTATATATGGGGACATCTGACTAATACCAGAAGTCATCATACACAGAGGGTAATTAACTGAAGGTGCCGAAGAGGTAAAGTCAATTCTTTAAAAAATGTTGAAGTCTATTCAAACTGATAACAAGAAAAAGCTGAGTTATCAGTCTAGGGAAGGACTTTCACAATATCCACTGCCTAATGGGAGTCTGGTCTTGAATCTCTTCTAAGCTTTTCCATTTTCGCCAGTCATCTTTTAAAGACCAGAACTCATCTTTTTTAGTCCTCTAATAAAAATCCTCCAATGCCTGTTCTCTACTCACAGGATAAAATCTCAATTCCTTTGCACAGTACTATAAGTGCCTGACCAGCAGTCCTAAGATTCTCTCTGTCCACTGCCTACCATGATTGCAGGTTGGGTTCTAGCTTCCTGGATCACCTCTCACTCTGTGAGTGTGCCATTTACTCCAACTCCCTTATGTCTTTACCTGATAGCTTTCTTTTGTGTAGGAATTCCCTTGCCTCTTGTACATACGTGGTAAATCCTATTTAAGCTTTAAGGATCCATTTCCAATGTCACCTTCTCCATGAAGACCTCTTTGATTCCACAGATCCCATGCAAATTTAATCTTCTGTTTCTCCATTATACTTTGTTTACATTAATTAACACAGCACTTAGCACAGTAGTGGTGATACTAGTAGTGGTAACAGTAGTAGTAGTAGCAGCTAACATTTATTGCGCAATAATTACAAGCCAGGCATCTTACATACATTAACTCATTTAATCTCAACTACAACCTTATGAGGTAAGGCCCTCATAAGATCATAAGACTAACTCCTCCAAAAGCTCATTAACTCTTCAAGGATAAGAACAGTATTTATCTTTGTCTTTTCATCACCAGAGTACAACATAGTGCTTGGCTCATGGTAGGTGATTAATATGCGCTTGTTCTGGCCAATCATGGTGGCTCATGTCTGTAATCCCAGCACTTGGGTGGCTGAGGGAGGAGGATAGTTTGAGGCCAGTAGTTCAAGACCAGCCTGGCAACATACCAACACCCCAACTCCATTAATTAAAAAAAAAAAAAAAAAAAAGTCAAAAGGTACCAGCTGCTGTAATAATTTTAAAAAGGTGCTTGCTCATTGAGTGACTAATGACTTATAACAAAATTAGGTTGTCATAGATGCATTAAGTTTCTGCATTCTGAATATTTTTATATATGGACAAATATGCTGGGTTTTTCAATAAAGCAACAATTTAAATGTAGGATACTCTAAAGAATTAAATCTACAAAGCTAAAAAATGAATCTCTAAGTAATCTGACCTTTTCCACTTCATCTTCTGATGCTCCCTCAAAATAAATGCCCCATTTGCTTAAATCAAATGTAGATAAAACTTAAAACATTCCATTGTATTTTGCTGCTCAGCCTTCATCTTACTATTGTAGACTAAAAGAAGAAAAAATAAGATTTTCAAAGTTTTAAATTCTAAGATGACTTACTGATTCTTAATTAGTCTAAAGAAAGAAAACAGTTTTTCTTCAGCTAAAGAAGCAATTATTGTTAATAAAACGTGAAGTTTTACATTAATAGCCCATAAGGGTTCAATATATTCAAATCAATAAACATAACCCAGCATATAAACAGAACCAAAGACAAAAACCACATGATTATCTCAATAGATGCAGAAAAGGCCTTTGACAAAATTCAACAGCCCTTCATGCTAAAAACTCTGAATAAACTAGGTATTGATGGAACATATCTCAAAATAATAAGAGCTATTTATGACAAACCCACAGCCAGTATCAAACTGAATGGGCAAAAACTGGAAGCATTCCCTTCAAAAACTGGCACAAAACGGGGATGCCCTCTCTCACCACTCCTATTCAACATAGTGTTGGAAGTTCTGGCCAGGGCAATCAGGCAGGAGAAAGAAATAAAGGGTATTCTATCAGGAAAAGAGGAAGTCAAATTGTCCCTGTTTGCAGATGACATGATTGTATATTTAGAAAACCCCAACATCTCAGCCCAAAATCTCCTTAAGCTGATAAGCAACTTCAGCAAAGTCTCAGGATACAAAATCAACATGCAAAAATCACAAGCATTGTGAAGAATCAATATTGTGAAAACGGCCATACTGCCCAAGGTAATTTATAGATTCAGTGCCATCCTCATCAAGCTACCAATGACTTTCTTCACAGAATTGGAAAAAACTACTTTAAAGTTCATATGGAACCAAAAAAGAGCCCATATTGCCAAGACAATCCTAAGCCAAAAGAACAAAGCTGGAGGCATCACGCTACCTGACTTCAAACTATACTACTAGGTTACAGTAACCAAAACAGCTTGGTACTGGTACCAAAACAGAGATATAGAACAGAACAGAGACCTCAGAAATAATACCACACATCTACAACCATCTGATCTTCGACAAACCTGTCAAAAACAAGAAATGGGGAAAGGATTCCCTATTTAATAAATGGTGCTGTGAAAATTGGCTAGCCATATGTAGAAAGCTGAAACTGAATCCCTTCCTCACACCTTATACAAAAATTAATTCAAGATGGATTAAAGGCTTAAATGTTAGACCCAAAACCATAAAAACCCTAGAAGAAAACCTAGGCAATACCATTCAGGACATAGGCATGGGCAAGGACTTCATGACTAAAACACCAAAAGCAATGGCAACAAAAGCCAAAATTGACAAATGGGATCTAATTAAACTAAAGAGCTTCTGCACAGCAAAAGAAACCACCATCAGAGCGAACAGGCAACCTACAGAATGGGAGAAAATTTTTATAATCTACCCATCTGACAAAGGGCTAATATCCAGAATCTACAAAGAACTCAAACAAATTTACAAGAAAAAATCAAACAACCCCATCAAAAAGTGGGTGAAGGATATGAACAGACACTTTTCAAAAGAAGACATTTATGTGGCCAACAAACATATGAAAAAAAGCTCACCATCACTGGTCGTCATTAGAGAAATGCAAATCAAAACCACAATGAGATACTATCTCACTCCAGTTAGAATGGCGATCATTAAAAAGTCAGGAAACAACAGATGCTGGAGAGGATGTGGAGAAATAGGAATGCTTTCACACTACTGGTGGGAGAGTAAATTAGTTCAACCATCGTGGAAGACAGTGTGGCAATTCCTCAAGGATCTGGAACTAGAAATACCATTTGAACCAGTAATCCCATGACTGGGTATATACCCAAAGGATTATAAATCATGCTGCTGTAAAGACACATGCACACGTATGTTTATTGTGGCACTATTCACAATGCCAAAGACCTGGAACCAACCCAAATGTCCATCAATGATAGACTAGATTAAGAAAATGTGATACATATACACCATGGAATTCTATGCAGCCATAAAAAAGGATGAGTTCATGTCCTTTGTAGGGACATGGATGAAGCTGGAAACCATCATTCTGAGCAAACTATTGCAAGGACAGAAAACCAAACACCGCATGTTCTCACTCATAGGCGGGAATTGAACAATGAGAACACTTGGACACAGGGTGGGGAACATCACACACCAGAGCCTGTCATGGGGTGGGGGTAGCGGGGAGGGATAGCATTAGGAGATATACCTAATGTAAATGACGAGTTAATGGGTGCAGCACACCAATATGGCACATGTATACATATGTAACAAACCTGCACGTTGTGCACATGTACCCTAGAACTTGAAGTATAACAATAATAAAAAAGAAGGGTAGTAAGATAGACATATTTGACATTGTCAATGTAAGAACCAAGTCGATTGTAACCTTAAATACAGATCTAACCATTTCAGATTTTAAATAAGGAATCTGACTTAAAATATTACAGAAATAAAACCACAGAAAAAAATTTAAAAAAATAGCCCATGAGGAAGTTGGAAGGGCAATCCATTTTAATATTTACCAAGTATTTTACATGTATCCTATCATTTAATGTGTGGTAATACATTTTTGTTGATCTGAATTTGAGGCAGGTATTACTAGTTGCCCCCTGAGGAAACAGAAAAAGAAAGCCATATGATTTGCACATGATCACATAGTAATTAATGGAACCTGAACTTGACTCCAGATCCTCTGGCTTAAAATTACCTGTTGTTTCCCCAGCTCTCTGCTGCCCTGGGTCCTCATGCAGCTGTCCTTAAAACCTCATTTTTACCCAACTACCACTTAGCCCTGAAAGGAACTGTAGTTGATCATTTAACACTTATAACTAGATTGTGAATATGGCTGCAATTATTAAGGATGAATCCTGCTAGCTAGCTGTCCCTTGCCCATTAAGGCTTGACAATGGTCATAATAACGACCAATACATATTGATGATGTCTAGGTGTGAGGCTCTATGCTGAGCATTTCACATACACTTCTGTTATAAGTTGAATTGTGTCCCCACCCCACCCCACCCCAAAAAATACATTGAAGTCCTCAGTATCTCAGAATGTGGCTTGGAAATACGGTCTTTGTAGAGCAAATCAAGTAATAATGAGAGAATTATGGTGGGCCCTAATCCAATATGACTGGTGTCCTTATAAAAAAGGGGAGATTTGTCCGCAGAGACAGACACACACAGGGAAGATGACAGGAAGACCCACAGGAAGAAGGTCTTGTAAAGACAGGACTAGAGTGATGCATCTATAAGCTGAGGAATGCCAGAGATTGCCAGCAAACCACCAGAAGTGAGGAATGGGCAAGGAAGGGTTCCCCCACAGGTTTCAGGGACAGCGTGGTCCTGCCAACATTGATTTCAGACTTCTCGCCTACAGAACTGTGAGATAATAAATTTCTGTTGTGTTAAGCCACCCAGTTTATGGTACTTTGATACAGCAGCCCAGGAAACTAATATAACTTCTGATCATTTTGACAAAATGATAGGTTTACGAGGCTACATGACCAAATGTGGCTTACTTATAAACTTTGGCAGACATATTACAATGGCTTTTTTGTCTCCAACATATAGTCAGTAGTTATAATCCTACACACATGGTAGCTTTGCAACTTAATACATTAAGATTAAAGCTCTCAGTAGGGATCCCAGTTGGAGACTACACTGAACCCACTGAGGGGGCCCCTTTTGAGCTCATCTCACTAATGATGAGTGCTATAGTCTGAACGTCTGTGTCCCCCTCTCCCAAAAATTCATATGTTGAAAGCTAATCCCCAGTTTATTAGTCCATTCTCACATTGCTATCAAGAACTACCTGAGACTGGGTAATTTATAAAGAAAAGAGGTTTAATTGGCACACAGTTCCACAGGCTGTATAGGAGGCATGGCTGGAGAGGCCTCAGGAAACTTACAAGCACGACAGAAGGCAAAGGGGAAGCCAGCATATTTTACAGGGTAGGAGCAAGAGGAAGAGAGAGTGAAGTGGGGAGTGCTGCACACTCTTTCAGACAACCAGATCTTGGGAGAACTCTGTCACAAGACAGCATTAGGCGGATGGTGCTAAACCATTAGAAACCACCCCATGATCCAATCACCTCCCAACAGGCCCCTCCTCCAACACTGGGATTATAATTCCACATGAGATTTGGGTGGGGACACAGAGCCAAAACACAGAACCCAGTGTGAAGGTATTTGGAGGTGGGGCCTTTGAGAGGTGATTAGGTCATTTGGGCAGAGTCCTCATGAATGGGATTAGTACTCTTATAAAAAGAAGCCCAAAAGGGGTCCCTTCCCCTTTCCACCATAAAGAGACACAGTGAAAAGACATTCTGGCCATCTATGAAGCAGGACATGGGCTCTCATCAGACACTGAATCTGCCTCTAAGATCAGACACTGATCTTAGACTTCCGTGCCTCTAGAACTATGAGAAATAAATTTCTGTTGTTTACAAGCCACCTAGTTTATGGTATTTTGTTATAGCAGCCTGAATGGACTAATACAGTGAGGTAGGCCCACCAAAAGTCTGTACAAGGGGCTGAGGGAGAACTTGCTCTGGAGGAAGGAAAGCCAGGCATGACAGGACTTGCCTAGGACAGACTTCAGATTCTGAATACAGAAAGCCATCACCCTGTGGGTTTCATCCCCAGCTCAGCAACTTCTTGGAATCATACTCAAAGAGAAGAGGCTGTCACCAACAACACTAAAAGCAGCACTGGATTCACACTATTAAAAAAAAAAAAGTGGTGGGGGGAGCTTTCTTTTGTGCTTTGTGCATGAGTACTGGGCAGGAGGGAAGAGTCATGGTGGCCAGTAGACATGGTATGATAGCCTGCTGGTTGAAGCAGAAGAGGAAATAAGAGTGGCTGTCATGTGGGAATCTAGACTTTTGAGAGCATGTGTGTAATGTCCCATGCAAGTCCTAGAAATACTTGTAGTGGGGAGAAGAATGTGAAGAGGCTGATGTCCTCCAAGTAGGGCACAAAAGATAGTACAAAATGGCCTCAATCATATGTATTTCAAAGGTAACTTATAATCAAGAAAAAATCATTATTTTTACTATCCTGCAGACCTATTATCCAGACACTCACACCCCATACACCAAGACAATGAAAATTGCTATCGACTGCAGCATACCCTTCAAAAGAGGCCCAGATCAGTCCCAGTTACAATAACTCAAACAGCTACTCCCAGAATTGCATTTTGCAAGTGAGCCCACATCTGGAGGTTGAACATGCCAGTTGATTGACAGATCAATAGTACTCTCTGCCAGTGTAAGAGATTACACAGGCATAGCTATGCCTGAGGTAGGAAAGAAAGCCACATTCCCAGCTAAGATGTCATCTGGGTTTATAATACAATAAATCTCTCTCTAGAATAGATATTATTTTAGAATACTAGACATTTGATGGCAGCAGGTGCACTTAACAGAGAAAAATGCTGACTTCAACAAAATATAGCTTAAAGATCTCGTGGGAATTTATCCCACTTTCAGAATGCAGGCAACAAGTGCTATCTTCTTTTCTATGTGATTTTGACTCACTTCCCTCATTTAATTTCCTCTTCAGTCCTAGGGGAGGCCTATAAAGCTTAGAGAAAAATCTGTTAAACTGCTACGACAATATTATTTGTCACTTTCCACCCAAGTTCTCTCTCTACTACTAAAGGTAGAAAGAACAGGCTTTATAAAGTGTCAAGAGGATTGCTACTAGCGTTCTAAATCTCACCCAAACCTTAATGCCACACAATTAGTAGAATAATATAAAATAAAACTCTTCAAAGTCCCAAATAGTTTTCTCCATGCCCCTTTCAACAAAAACTAAAATCAGATACAAAATTCCCCTGATATCCTCCGGACATCACCACAAGAACAGTGGTCCTCAAATGTCCGGATTCATGAATATTACATGGGGTGCTTGTAAAAATATAGTTTCCTGGTCCCCACCTCAAACATGCTGATTCATAATCTAAGGGGGTTTGGCCTAGGAATCTGTATTTAATATGCTCCCAGACGGTCTTGAAAAGGTAGTTTCCAACCACACATCTGGAAATCCTGCTGTAAAATATGTATTTATCCTCAATCTACATTATATAGCTATCAGTTTAGCTATTCATCTACCCCAGAATCCAAACCACGGTTAGACAGTGTTCCATGGTTCTCACCACAGTCACAGGATCAGCCAAGAGGACCCCTGAAAAGAGATCAAGAAATCTTCTTTCAATCTGTTCCGAGGACCTAATGGGAGCCCCCAACCCCGTCTGCCCCCACCGCCTACTGAAAAAAAAAAATAGATCAGGTGAGAATTTGGGGCAAGAACCTATAGGCTACATAGATCCAGGCCCTATAAGTGCCCATACTTTTCCTGGGTTTGCTACCTTACAGAGCACACGTTCTAACAAGGCCTCAACAGTACAAGGCTTTGAAGAATCAAACCTGGGCAGCCCAACACTGATCGTGAACCACTTAAATGTCCCCTCAACCTCTTCCCTCCTGACATCCAACCAGAAAAGGTACTGAGGTGACTCTCAGACTCTCCTAGGGTGACCAACCATCCTGGTTTGTCCAGGACTGGGAAAGTTAGTAGGATGTAGGACTTTCAAGGATGAAACTAAGAAAATCCAGGGCAAACCAAGATAAAAGGGTCCCCTACTCCCAGTTCTAACCGTATCTCAAGAGCCAGCTCCTCAGAGCATAGGTGTTACCGGCACCAGGGAGGCAACACCATGGAGACTTCAGACAGAGGTGTCAGGGCTTGGCCAGGCAAAAGGCTCTCAGAGGAGGAAGAAGAATTCTGGCCAGGACAGCACTCACTGAGAGGCTATTCCTACCTAGGCCAGGCCCAGGTTCAGGCCCATAAGGTTGGGTTCGAAAACAGAAAACTCAGAGCCCTTGAGGGGTACTTTTAAACCAAGAGCTCACAGAGATCAATTCACATGAAGTCCTTGCTCTCATATAAATCTCAGTCTCCAGAATCTAAAGCAGAAACACAATTATTGCAAATAAGCAACTAAGTGTTCCATTTAAGGAGTTTAAACTCACTTTATCTACTAGATAAGGTCTAGAAAATAGAGGAAAACTAAGGAGTTAACAAATGAAGAAATGAATTTCAGGTAGTGATAAGAAGAGATAAAGAAAAGGAGCGGCAGTACTACTAGATAACCTTAAGTGGCTCTTAAGTACCATGGCTGTCCACTGGAACCCCCTTTAAAGCTTTAAAAACACTGATGCCTGGGCCACACTCAGACGCTTGATTTAATTTAGTCTGGGGTAAAACTGGGCTTTGGGATCTGTTAACGCTCCCCTGGTGATTCCAACATATAAGCCAAGGGCGAAAACCCTGCTGCAGGTGGGAAGGGCAGGTCTGTCTGAGGAGATATTTGAATTGAGACCTTAGTAAGCGGGAGAGAGCTGGGCAAACAGTATATCAGAAAGTGCAAGCCCTGAAGCATAAACGAGCTTGGTGTTCTAGAAACAGAAACTACGTAAGCTCTAGAGAGCAGGAACTTTGTGCCTACATCCTGAGGCCTAGACCAGTAACTGAAACATAATAGAGTCTTAATGTATTTTTGTTGAGAATGTTAATTTTAAAAAGGCCAATGTACCTGAAGCAAAGTGAGAAAACAGGAGAAAAGCATGAGGCAAAGGACAGAAAAGAAGTTATGACAAGGTTGTGCCCTGTGGGCCACAGATGAGCCTTCACTCTCAGTATAATCAAAGCCACTGAAGGGTTTCAAACAGGAGAGCAACATTTTACTTTTTGAAAATATCGTTCTGGACTTCTACATCTGTGAAAATGGAGTAGATATACTTTTCCCTATTTGTCCCACTAAGGTACCATTTAAAACTCTGGGCATTATATACAACAAACATGAGAAGACTCTGAAAGTAGAGATGAAACCACCTTTGCAAAGATTATGACAGCAAGAGAAGTCTAGCATGACTGACTCGATCTTGCTTCTAGCCTCACAGGCTAGCTATCCTCACTCATTCCTGGGCATAGGCCAAGCTAACCATGAGAGGAATTTAGTTTATAGTTTAACTTTGAAGAAAGGATGGTAACAGGCATCAGTAGAGGCCTAGCAGAGAGCTAGAACTGCCACCGCTACCCAGCTCCTCTTCCATATCAACAGAGGCCAGATGGGGAACCTGAACATCTATCCTCAATTGACACTAACAAAGCATCTTCTATCATAGTGGTATCACAAAACACCAACTAAAACTCAATACAATAAAAACTAATACAAAGAAAAAAACTTTTGAAAATAGTAAGCACGACAGAAATGACATCTTACCAATTAGGGATAAGAAACTAGAATGAAAGTAGATTTCTCACTAGAAATCATACAGGTGAGGAAGAAGTGACACAACATTTTTCACGTGCTGAAAGAAAGCTTTCAAGCCAGAATTGAATATCCAGTGAAAATATTCTTCAGGAATGAAGGAGAAGCAGACCTACTCTAAAAGAAAGGATTTTTCAAAAAGTCTCTAAGAAAGAAAATTATAAAAGGAGGAATACTGGGATATCAGAAAGAAAAAGAAAGATAATAGAAATGGTAAAATTATCAGAAAATATAATTTTTTTCCTCAAGTTTTCTAAATTATGTTTAATAAATGAAGCAAAAAATTGTAACACTGTCTAATGTGGTTCTAAATGCAGATAGAGGAAATAGTTACAACAACTAAAAAACTGGAAAGAGTAAAGGGACATAAAGGGAGAAAAAGTTTCTATTCCAAGAACTGGTAAAGCAATGGCACCAGCAGACTGTGATAAGTTATATGTGTTTAATAGATTGCCTAGAGCAACCACTAAGAAAGCAATATAGGAGGTTCATTAAAAAACAACAATGGAATTCTTAGGAAAATGTTCAAGTAACCCACAGGAAATCAGGAAAAATAAATAAAAAGCTGAGAGAATAAACAGAAAACAAAAAATAAAATAGCAGACTTAAGCCCTAACATATCAATAATCACATTAAATGCAAATGGTCCAAATACAGCAATTAAAAGAAAGAGATTAACAGAGGGGATCAAGAAATGTGATCCAACTACACGCTATCTCCAAGAGACTCACTTCAAATATAATGTTATATACAGGTTGAAAGTAAAAGGATGGAAAAAGCTGTATCATGCAAACATAAAGAACTCATGAGGCCGGGCACAATGGCTCACACCTATAATCCCAGCACTTTGGGAGGCCAAGGAGGGCCTCACTTAAGGTCAGGAGTTCAAGGCCAGCCTGGCTAACATGGTGAAACCCCATCTCTACAAAAATACAAAAATTAGCCAGGCATGGTAGCATGTGCCTGTAATCCCAGCTACTTGGGAGGCTGAGGCATGAGAATTCTTTGAACCTGGGATGTGGAGGTTGCAGTGAACCGAGATCACACCACTGCACTCCAGCCTGGGTGACAAAGCGAGACTCTGTCTCAAAAAAAAAAAAAAAAAAAAAAGAAGTCATGGTTATCTTAATATCAGATAAAATAGATGTATTAGTCCATTCTCACACTGCTATAAAGAACTACCCAAGACTGGATAACTTATAAAGAAAGAGGTTCAATTGGTTCACAGTTCTGCAGGCTGTACAGGCTTCTGCTTCTGGGAAGGTCTCAGGAAACTTACAATCATGGCCGAAGGTGATGGGGAGGCAGGCACATCTTTACACAGTCAGTGGGAGACAGAGTAAAGGGGGAGGTGCTACACACTTTCAAACAACCAGATCTCATGAGAACTCTATCATAAGACAGCACATGGGAGATGGTGCTAAACCATTACAAACCACCTTCATGATTCAATCACCTCCCACCAGGCCCCTCTTCCAACACTGGGGATTACAATTCGACATGAGATTTGGGTAAGGACACAGAGTCAAACCATATCAATAGACTTCAGAACAAAGAAAATTACCAGATACACAGAGAGGCATATATAGTGATAAAAGGGTCAATCAAATAAGAAGATATAGTAATCCTAAATGTATATGCATCAAACAACAAAATGTGTGATGCGAAAACTTAGAATTGAAAGCAGAATTAGATAAATCCACAGTTATAGTTGGAGATGTCAACCACCCCTCTTTCAGCAACTGATAAAACTAGACAGAAAATCTACAAGGAAAGAGAAGAATTCCATAACACCATCAACCAACAATATCTAATTGACATTTATAGAACATACCGCCCAGCAACAGGAGAATATACATTATTTTCAAATGCCCACAAGATATATATCAAGATAAAGTATATCTATGGCCATAAAATAGCCCTAATACATTTTTAAAAATTGAAATCATACAAAGTGTGTTCTCCAACCACAATGGAATCAAACTAGAAATTAGTAAAAGAAAGACAACAGAAAAATCTTCAAATATTTGAAAGCTAAACAACATATTTCTATATTATTCATGCGCTGAAAAGGTGTTTCAACATAAGTCAAAGAATATGTTGAACTTAACAAAAATGAAAATATGTACAACCTATCAAAATTTGTGGGACATAGCTAAAGCAGTGCTGAGAGAGAAATTTACACTACTAAAAGCTTATAATTAGGAATGAGAAAATGTCTCAGATAAGCTCCCAACTCAAAAACCTAAAAAAAGCAAAGTAAAAAAAAAAAAAACCTAAAAAAAAGAAAAAAAAGCAGAAGAGAGGAAATAATAAAGAGTAGAAATCAAGGAAATTTAAATCAGAAAAACAATAGATAAAAATCAGTGAAATAAAGAACTGGTCCTTTGAAAAGATCAATGAAATTGATAGGTCCCCTAGCAAGACTGACAAAGACAAAGAGAGAGAAGACACAGGCTACTAGTATCAGAAACAAAACGGGATAGCTATATGGATCCTGCAGACATCAAGAGCATAATAACGAAATAACCATACACACATAAATTTGACTATTCCTTAAAAACATAAGCTACCACAGCTCACTCAATATGAAACAGATCATTTGAACAATCCTATCACTATTAAGACAATTTAATATGTTAAACACTTCCCCCAAAAAGAAATCTCCAGGTCCAGATAGTGTTACTGGAGAATTCTACTAAACGTTTCAAGAAGAATTAACACCAATTCCACATACTCTCTTCCAAAAAACAGAAGAGAAAGGAACACATCATTTTATTAAGCTAGTATAACACTGATACCAAAATCAAAGAAAGTACAAAAGAGTACAGACCAATATCCCTCATGAATAGTTACACAAAAAGTCTTAACGAAAGATTAGCTAATAGAATTCAACAATACTTTAAAATAATTATACACCATTCCCAAGCCTGCTTTCAACATTTGAAAATCAATCAATATAATCTACTCTATTAACACACTAAAGAAGAAAATCACAATTAGGTCAATCAATGAAGAAGAAGCACATGACAAATTTTAACACCTATTCATACAAAAACTCAGAAAAATGGGAAGAGAGGGAAACTTCCTAAACGTGATAAACATTTACAGAACACCAATAGCTAACATTATACGGTCAGGCATCACTTAATGACAGAGATTCATTCTGAGAAAGGTGTCAATAGGTAATTTCATCACTGTGTAACATTACAGAGTATACTTGCACAAACCTAGATGGCACAGTCTACTACACAACTCGGCTATATGATATAGCCTATTGCCCCTAGGCTACAAACCTGTACAGGATGTCACTGTACTGAATACTGAAAGGCAATTGTAAATATTTGCATGTCTAAACATGGAAAAGGTATGGTAAAAATATGGTATAAAAGATTTTTAAAATGGTACACTTGTATAGGGCACTTACCCTGAATGGAGTCTGCAGGACTAGAAGTTTCTCTGGGTGAGTCAGTAGGTAAGCAGTGAGTGAATGTGAAGGCCTAAGACATGATGCTTATTGTAGACTTTACAAACATTATATACTTGGGCTACACTAAATTTATTTTAAAAACAAAGTGAGTGATTGCACTATGGCATTACAATGACTACAATGTCACTAGGGATTAAAAATTTTTCAGCTATCATCTAAAGGGGCCACCATCATATATGTGGTCCATCGCTGACTGAGCTTTGCTAAGCACATGACTATACTTGATGGTGAAAGACTGAATGCTTTCTCCCCAGGACTGGGAACAATTCAAGGATATCCATTACCAATACCCTTTTTCAAAATAATGCTAGAAGTTCCACATACATATGGTATGATTCTAACCATATAACATTCTTGCAAAGACAAAAATCATAGAAATGGAGAACAGATTGGTGGTTGCTAGGGGTTAAGGAGAGGGTTAAAGAGAGGGTAGTGTGGAAGGGAAGTAGGTGTGGTTATAAAAGGGCAACAGAAGGCTCCTTGTGGTGATGGAAACATCTGTGTCTTGACCTATCAATGTCAATATCCTGGCTGTGATATTGTACTACAATAATGCAAAATGTTACCATCGGGGGACATTGGGTTAAGAGTACATGGGATCTGTACTATTTCTTACATCTGCATGTCAATCTATAGTTAGCTCAAAATAAAATGTTTAATTTAAAAATAAAAAAATCATCCTGTCAGCTGTGGGGAGAATGAATGATTAAAAAAACAAAAAAACAAAAAACAATAGTGGCAAAAGAAAGACCTATTAGGAAAACACGAAGTTATCCAGGCAAGAGATGACCATGCTAGAACTAACATGCTGGAAGTTGAAAAAAGAAGAAGTAGATACGGGACATATAGTGAGGCAGAATCAACAATGTTTGTTGATAAATTAGCTGTGAAGAACGAAAGACAAAGTTGAAAATGACCTCTACGTTTCTTACTTGAACAACTGTCAGACAGATAATGCCATCATTTACTGAGATAAGGACAATTTTGTTCTACAGAAACATTTGAGATTTAAGATTTAAAACATTTGGGATTGTTCAATTAGTTTATCCTCTTCTTTAAAAACATTCAAAATTTGGATGTAACTCATTGCCCCTACACATGAAGAGCTTTCAAGGTTTCACACAGGCTACAGTACTTTGAATAAAATCTATGAAGAAAACATAAGCCTAAAAAGTCCAAAAACAAGAAAGTACTGCTGAGTCACAAACTCTCAATTCCATCATTTTTTCAAGAATTTTAATACCAGAGCAAGATGGGGTTGCTTACCCTGAAGCTGTCAACAAACTGTCTACTTGAAATATTTTTTTCCACTCAAACTGATGTTCTCATGTAGGTGTTTTCTTCCTGAGGTCAGACAAGGGTGCTTCACCTAGTTAGACATCACTGAATGACCTTAGAAAACTTATTTGCCCTGAGACACATGATGAGGGTCTGGCGCTTAAATGAACACATCCAGAACTCAGTCTTTTCTGTTAAGGCAATGCTTGGTTCTCATCCATTAACATCAACTCTTGTTTTCCTCACAAATGCGAGTCAGTGGGCTGCAGCCCCTGGTTGTCATAGCGACTGCAATTTCACGCACCAAAATGGTTTTCTCAGAACACAGACTTCGAGTAGCACTTTTTTTCCCAACATATATTTTAGCACATGAAGAATTTGTTGCCATTTCCAGTCATCTCTTTTGTCTGAGATATGTTTTGTTTATATAACGTCATAGTGACTAAAGACCAAGACCAAAAAAAGATTTCCAGCTTTGTCCCTTAATTAGACCTTTGATTGTAAGTGCTTCCTTGGCTGCTATCAGCTCCTGAACAGTCTGCTTTTGGTATTGTGCCCCAGGAGTATCATAAAGACATGTAATCAGATTCAGCCCACAAGGCAACAATAACCTACTGAAATATCCTGAAGGAAAGGTCCTACATATCCCTTTCTTTCACGGTCTTATTCTTCTGGTCTAGTGTTTCCTGCTGGCCCAGAAAAGAAAAAAAGAATGATGAATTTTCTCAATTGTAATATTATGAGAAACAGGGAAAAAATCATGAAGGCAGTGATTTGTTGTTTGAGGGGTTTCCAAATGGCCTTAGAGTGCACCTACACTACCACTCCCTCTATCTCACCCATGACAAACACTGAAAATCTACAACAGCCCTCTTTCCCTCTGAGCCCAGTATAAGACCTCAGAATCTTTCTCAACACAACATTCCAGACATGGGCAATTTGCCATCTGGGTACTAGAATCTTAGCTAGTGTTTCAAAATGTCAAGTTCAGCACTCTGTTTAACTGTAGGAGTCAAAAACTAATCCTTACACAAGAGCTAAGATTTTGCAAAACAATCTGAAAACGAGTCTGAATAACTCACTTGCAAAGTGAACTAGTCCACACCCATCAACTCAGGCAGTTAAAATATGATGCAAATGCAAAGTCATAGAGGAATCCCAGATGGGTCTCTTAGCCTTTCTCTCTTGCCCAAACACTGCTGTATTCTTAGCCTAACCAGCTATGCCACAAGTATATACTACATCAGACATTTTTAAGTGTCAGATTTTAAAAGCATGTATGAATATCAGCTCAAAACTATCATTACTAACAGAAAAGCAACTTAGGGCACATATTTAAATATAAACCCATTAGGAACACAGTTTGTGTGTCTTACTTACCATTATATCCACAATGTCTAGAGTAATATTTGGCACATAATAGGCACTCAAAAAGTTCTTGTTACCTTCACACCCATTAGGATAACTACTATTAAAAAATATAAAAACAGAAAATAACAAGGTGAGGATGTGAAGAAATTGGAACTCTTGTACACTCTTGATAACAATGTAAAATAGTATCGCTGCTATGGAAAACAGTATGGAGGTTCCTCAAAAAATTAAAAAATAGAACCATTATATAATCCAGCAATCTAATTTTTGGGTACATATACAAAAGAACTGAAATCTGAATCTTGAAGAGATATTTGCACACTCATGGTCATTGCAGCATTGTTCATAATAGCCAAGAGGTGGAAGCAACCTAAACATCCATCAACAGATGAATGGATAAAGAAAACATGATATATACATACAGTGGAAAGTTATTCAACCTTAAGAAAAGAAATTCTGACATATATTAAAACATAGATGAACCTTGAGGACATTATACCAAGTGAAATCAGCCAGTCACAAAAAGACAAATATGATTCCACTTATATGAGATATCTAAAGTAGTCAAATTCATAGAGACAGAAAGTAGATTGGTGGTTTCCAGGAGCTGGGGAAGGAGGAAAAGGGGAGTTGCTGTTCAATGGATGTAGAGTTGCAGTTTCGCAAGACGAAAAGTTCTGGAGATTAGCTGCACAACAATGCGCATATAGTTAACACTACTGAGCTATACACTTGAAATGGTTAAGATGGTAACTTTTATGTTATATTTTAACATAATTTTTTAAAATACCTATTAAATCAATGAACAGAAAGATTTCTTTCTCCTCTAGAATAGTGGCTCTCAATCAGAAGTGATTTTGTCCCCCTGGGAACATTTGGCAATGTAAGGAGACATTTTTGGTTGTCATAGCTGGGAGCAGGAGTGCTACTTGCACCTAGAAGACAGAGGCCAGGGATGCTATTATAAACATCCTCACAAAGCACAAGACATCCCCCAACAACAAAAAATTATCTGGTCCCAGAATGTCAATAGTGTCAGGTTGTTAAATCCTGCTCAAGAGTTTTCTGTTCAATAAGGGTATATAAAATGCATAGCTCAGAGCCTTAAAAATGTTAGCCTTACAATTATCATCATCATAATTATTATTATTATTATTTAACTCTAGGTGAAGACTGAAGTTTTTATTTCCTTAACTTGTATTTGACACAGTAAACTGAGGTCAAGTTGCCTACAAAATGAGTCTACTATACATCCTTCCATATTTGCCACCAGGAAACTATTGAGGGAAAGGGAGGGAGAGTCTGTAATACATTCAAAAGTCTGATGCTTCTGACTAACCCAATCTCAGAGCACTGCCCAGAGCAAGACTTTCCTGAGTTGCTCAGGAAAGCAGACAATAAGGATCCCCAGACAATAAGGTTCTCCCAAGGCAATCAGGACCTGTGATGTAAACTCTAGCCCAAAAGAAAATCTCAGATGTCTTCTCATTCCAGTGTCTCTTTCCAAAGATTAGGCAATTTGTTTGAGGTTTGAATCAGCTCCTTTAGATGATTATATAACCAAAATGGTGTCCAGGGCCTCTCTAATACTATATCATAAGGAGTGGAAATTTCCTTGAACCCCTTACTTTTATGGTGTAGAAAACTCCAAAGTATTACCTAAGACTTCTATGAATCATGTCCTATGAATTTAGAATCTCAGGGTCTGTAGCCATTTGTGCTCACTCTATCTTGTTCCCTGACATAGTCTTAGTTTCTCTTTACTGATCTCCAATAAAACAAAATAAAATAATAACAAAAATCTAGCCCATACCAAGAGTTCTGTGATTTGGGGTTACTTCTCTGAAATCTTGGTAGGGAGCATAGAAATCAGTCACATAGAGGAAGACTCAACAGTGTCTCCTGTTGTGGTCATTCTCCCCTCTCCTCCCTTGGTTCCCCTCCCACTCAGAAGTAAATCAAGCCAGGCACAGTGGCTCATACCTGTAATCCAAACACCTTGGGAGCCTGCGGTGGGAGGATCACTTGAGGCCAATAGTTCAAGACCAGCCTGGGAAACATAGTAAGACATCCCCCCACCACACCCCTAGTCTCTAAAAAAATAATAATTAGCTGGGTGTGGTGGTGCACACCGGTGATCCCAGCTACTTGGGAGGCTGAGGTGAGAGAATCACCTGAGCCAAGGAGTTCAAGGCTGCAGTCAGCTATGATCATGCCCCTGCACTCCAGCCTGGGTAACAGAGTGAGACCCTGTCTCAAAAAAAAAAAAAAAAGTAATTCATTCTCTCCTTGGAAACCTTGAAACTTGTCCCAAAGGGTCTTATTATGCCAACTCATCAAAGAACTCTCTTAACAAAGATGAGTCTTTCCCAGAAGGAATTTTCATAGTACCTGCTAAAAGAATACTATTTTCTCCATGTATTACAATGACAAAGTACATCGCCAATGCTATTTTACTCCAAAACTCCAAAACTATGCATGAAGAACCTTCCAATAAAGAAGCCACATTCCCCATTTTACTCTTTCCCCAATTTCGTCTTGTGTGTCCCAACTATAGTGAAGGCATGAGGAATTCAAATAAGCCCTGGTCCTATTTCTCGTCAATTCACAGCCCACCTAAAATGCTACACTATGTTTAGGAATAATTGCAGAGCTTAGAGATCATGTATTTCCCAAGCATCCCCTGCCACTAGTGTACAGAGGCGTGATTTCCTCTTCCTGTGGGAAGAGTGGAGCCTCTGGTGAGCACAGCAGCAGGAGTTTTGGTTCTCGCAAGCAGCTGTGGCAGAATTTCTGGCATCCAAGCCCCAGCATTATAAAGGCCACTAGAATAGTGTGGCTGGGGATTTTCTGGGCTGCACTTTTGGCTGTATTGTTTCTGTTTAGTAACTCAGTTGAGTTATGTGGCCATCTCTAAGATTCTGTGAGTTGCCAAATATCCTCTAATAAAATACCCATCAGCTGAGCAAAGTGGATTCTGCTGTTTGCAACCAAAAACTCTGATCAAATAAAGACAGTTAAGTTTGGGGAGGAAGTACCTGGATTATCCAGGAAATTAACAGCAATAACACAGTAACACTTACTAAACTTACTAAGACTGCAGTGCTATGTTCTAACCACCTTACATATGTAAATTCATTTAACCTCAAAACAACCATAAGAGTAGATATCATTATTCATTGCATTTTAAGATGCCGAAACAAATTCAGAAAAATATATCACTTGACCAATATCACCTAGCTAGTAAGTGAAGGAGACAAGATTCAAACCCAGGCAATTGATTCCAGAACCATGCTCAAAACGACAGCAGTATGCCACCTCTCTGGTCAACATCTGGACATGGAGGCATGCCCAATCTAAAGGGTCTGGAATTAAAGTTCCTCAAAACATACTGTGCAGGCCAAACAAAGCACATTCTGACAATCCTATCCAAAATAGCCACACACCTTTACCATACGCTGCTTTGTTTTCTTCACAACACTCACTACTTTCCTCAATTATGTCATTTATTTGCTTACTGTCTATCCCTCATACAAATATAATCTTTAGACAGTATATTAGTTATCTACTGCTGCATAACAAATTACATCAAAACTTGGCAGCTTCAAACAACAACTATGTATGATGGGTAAGTCAGGAATACAAGAGTAGTTGGGCTGGTGGTCTGGCTCAGCGTCTCTCAGGAGACTATGGTCAAGCTATGGGGCATGGCTGCAGTCATCTGAAGGTTAACGGGCTGGAGGATGCTCTGTTCACCCACATGGCTGTTGGCAAGATGCCTCAGTTCCTGCCAGGTGAACCTTTTCACAGGGCTGTCTGAACACATGGCAGCTGACTTCTCCCAGAGACACTGATCCAAGAAAAGGCAAGATAATAATGCCGCAATGTCTTTTAAGACCTAGTCTCCAAGTCACATACTGCCTTATTCTATTGATTAGAAGTGGGTCACTAAGTCTAATCACACTCAATGGGATGAATACATTGGAGATGGGCGGATTGGAAGCCATCTTGGAGACTGGCTACCAAACATGGACTATGACTTGTTCATTGTTAGATCTGCAATATCTAGTACTCAGTAGGTGTTCCATATGTATTTATTGAGTTTTTGGAAGATTCCAGTACACAGTAGGCATTCCATATGTATTTATTGGTTGAGTTTGGGGAAGATTCCGGTGCACAGTAGGCATTCCATATGTCTTTACTGGTTGAGTTTGGGGAAGATTCCAGTGCACAGTAGGCATTCCATATATATTTATTGGTTGAGTTTGGGGAAAGCTGTCTAACTGTATATAGCTCACATAGATGTGAAATAAGCAGCATATGCAAGTAAGCAAAGCCATGGGTGTGTATGAGATAATCCAGAAAAAGGTAGGATAAAAAGGAGCAGTGGACAAAATCTTGATGAATGTCAAAGTCCATGAATGTTCAGAGAGGGAATTTAGGTTGGCTTCCTGTTCTGGCAGCAGGGCAAACTCATTAACCCAACCCTTACTTCCCCCTGCCCCAAATACAAACATACACAAATGACACAATAAAAAATAATAATACTGAATCACTGAGCCTGAAAGAAAACAAAAGTGAAAGCCTTAAAAAGGAAATACGGCTGGGCACAGTGGCTCATGCCTGCAATCCCAGCACTTTGGGAGGTTGAGGACTGCTTGAGCCCAGAAGTTAGAGACCAGCCTGGGCAATACAGCAAAACCCCATCTCTATAAAAAATACATAAATTAGTGGGGTGTGGTGGTGCATGTCTGTAGTCCCAGCTACTCGGAAAGATGAGGTGGGAGGATCACTTGAGCCAGGGAGGTCCAGGCTGCAGTGAGCCGTGATTGCACCACTGCACACAAGCCTGGGTGACAAGGCAAGACATTGTCTCAAAAAAGAAAAAAAAAGGGCAGGGCGCGGTGGCTTGTGCCTGTAATCCCAGCACTTTGGAAGGCCAAGGCGGGCGGATCACAAGGTCAGGAGATCAAGACCATCCTGCCTAACATGGTGAAACCCCGTCTCTACTAAAAATACAAAAAAAAATTAGCCGGGCATGGTGGCGGGCACCTGTAGTCCCAGCTACTCAGGAGGCTGAGGCAGGAGAATGGCGTGAACCTGGGAGGTGGAGCTTGCAGTGAGCCGAGATGGCGCCACTGCACTCCAGCCTGGGCAAGAGTGTGAGACTCCTTCTCCAAAAAAAAAAAAAAAGAAAGAAAGAAAAAAGAAAAAAAAGGAAACTCTAAGCCAGTACTGAAATCTCCAGCTCTACACAGGCCATAAGACCTGGGGGCCAGGGTTTTCATGCTTATGTGGAGGAAGAGGAAATCTGGGAGCTGGAAATGAGACACCTGGATGAAGCTATGACCCAAGCAAGGTTGACCAGTCTGAAAAGGGAACTAGAAAAACGGTGCTTACTGGCAGAAAAAAAGCAAGCAAGAAGACAGAAGGTCTGGGTAGGAAGAGAAATTCTGTTAGAAATAAAATCCAATATTGCACCAAGCATAATATGGGAATCCCAAATCAAGAAATATAAAATTTAGTCCTGAATTTGTGGAATCCCTGAGGCTTTGGCAGAAATGAATACAAAACTGTTCTATGAAAGATTGCAACTCAGAATGCACTGAATTCCTACAGAAAAAAAAAATACCATTGAAGGGCTGGGCAGAGCAGCTCATGCCTGTAATTTCAGCACTTTGGGAGGCCAAGGAGGGAGAATCACTTGAGGCCAGGAATTTGAGACCAGCCTGGGCAACATGATGAGACTTTGTTTTTACAAATCAAAAAATCAGCTGGGTGTGGTGGTGCACACATGTAGTCCCAGCTACTTGGGAAGCTGAAGAGGGAGGATCACTGGGGCCCAGGAAGTCAAGGCTGCAGTGAGCAGTGATCACACCATTGTACTCCAGCTCAGGTGACAGAGTGAGAAAAAAAGGATAATAACTCACAATTAAAAACAAAATACAAATTCTTTTTTTTTCTTTTTTTTGAGATGGAGTGTCACCCTGTTGCCCAGGCTGGAGTGCAGTGGTATGATCTTGGCTCACTGCAGCCTCCACCTCTCAGGTTCAAGAGACTCTCCTGCCTCAGACTCCTGAGTAGCTGGGATTACAGGTACATGCCACCATGACCAGCTAATTTTTATATTTTTAGTAGAGACAGGGTTTCACCATGTTGGCCAGGCTGATCTTGAATTCCTGACCTCAGGTGGTCCACCCACCTGGGCCTCCCAAAACACTGGGATTACAGGTGTTAGCCACCACACCTGGCCACAAAATACAAATTTTGTGAGAAAACAAATCATCATGAGAATCAGCAGACACAAGAAATGTGAAAACTGGCACCCAAAAACTAGGATAGAAAAATCTTTAAAAGATTATAAAATGAGTATATTTAAAATGATCAAAGATGTTTAAGAAAGAATAGAATCGTAATATAGGAATGAACACTGAAAAAAGGTATATCTGAGGAAAAAGTAACATGTATGTATATATGTTATATGTATATCCAGAATATATAAAAAATTCCTAACAACACAACAACAAAAATAACCTGATTAAAAAAAGGAAAAGGACTTGTGTAGACATTTCTCCAAAGAGGATATACAAATGGCTAACAAGCACATAAAAAGATGTCCAACACCACTAATCATCAGAGAATTGCAAATTAAAACCATAATGAGCTATCACCTCATGTCCATTAGGATGGCCACTGTGAAAAAAAAAAAAACAAAACAAAAATAAAGTATTGGCAAGGATGCAGAGAAATTGGAACCTTTGTGCACTGTTGGTGGGAATGTAAAATGGTGCAAGCTGCTATGGAAAACAGTATGAAGATTTCTCAAAAAATTAAAAGTAGAGCTACCATATGATCTAGCAATCCCACAACATGGATCAACCTTGAAGATATTATACCAAGTAAAATCGGCCAGTCACACAAAGGCAAATACTGTATGATCCCACTTATATGAGGTACCTAAAGTAGTCAAATTCGTAGAGACAGAAAGTAGATGGGTGGTTAACGGCGGCTGGGGTGAGGGAGAAAAGGGGAGTTGTTTAATGGGTGTAGAGTTTCAGTTTTGCAAGATGAAGAGTTATGGAGACTGGCTGTACAACAATGTGCATATAATTAACACTACTGAACTACATACTTAAAAATGGTTAAGATGGTAAATATGTGGCATGTGTTTTTTTTGCCACAATAAAAAAGGCTTAAATCAAAAAAAAAAAAGCCATTGTTACTTCTTCAAATTACAGAAATTATTCAAACTCAACATATAGGCCACTTGTATTAATTCCTTGGCCCTCAGATTTCAAGGTGATAATCTACTGAAAACAATACTAGAGTAATAAAAAAAGTCTATCCATATGAATGAATTAACAATGGTGTGAATACATGCTTTTCATTAGTGGATGAGAGGATGGGCAATGCAAAGAATGTAGACAGAGGATTTTTAAATAAATGTTTCAAGTCCTGGTAAAGGCCGGGGTTCAGGCTGATGAGCTTCAGGCTATCCTTAGCCAAGAAACAGCTTCTCTAGCATCATCGATGCTGGGAAAAAGCACATTCCTCCCCTGCCCAGGGCACTGGAAGTGCATACCCTTTGTGCATTCTCCATGTCTCCTGCAAAGGAGAACAGAAGCAAGGCTGACTGCTTTCAGTTTCTAGGGGAGTTCAATGGCCTTCTTGCATCATACACAGTGTCAATGGCAAATATTCCCAATCATGTGTTTTTTCCTCCAGCTTCTACTCCCTCTGTTAGCTGTAATTTTAGAGTGTCTGTTGAGAAAATGCCTTAGTTTATAATCATTTTTAAGTCATCGACTATACATCCCATGATTGGCTAAATCAGGGAAATAAAAGAGACCTGAAGGCTCATAACACAGGCTTACCCTAGTATGGATAGGAGAAGCTAACTTAGACCTGCTTGCCGATGAGGATTTTAGGCTGACGCTACTCCGAGTCATGAAGAGCCTGATTGACTTTGCTCTTCTGTGAGTACTTACATTCTGGTTTTTACAACTTTCCCGATACTGATACCTACCTGAAAATGAAACGTAAGTTCCATTCTCAATTAATATGGTGCTGGGCGCCTTGGAATGCCCACTCACTGGCTCCATTTGGGAAGGTGGTACCAGGTGGAAAGCCTAAAAGAATTAGCATCAATTACTCTGAAGAAGAGAAACACTACTAATGGAGGTTCTGAGATAGTACTGACTGCAAGCCCTCTGTTCATACCAACTATAAATCCCTGAAATATCCTAAGAGTCCAATGTCTCACCAAGCTGATTGACTAAACAATCTAGAGTTAACAAACTCTAGATGGAAAGCCTCCAAACACCCTACTTATCTAAGAGAAAAAAGCCACACAATATGACAGCTAGCAAAGTTTATCAACCATGACATAACGTAAACATGGCAGATCTTTTTAGGAACTACTTTACTTATAATATGCAGAGTGTCTGAAATAATTTAATTATAAAACTATAGTTTAGCCCGGGCATGGTGGCTCACACCTGTAATCCCAGCACTTTGGGAGGCCGAGGCTGGCAGATCACAAAGTCAAGAGATCGAGACCACCCTGATCAACATGGTGAAACCCTGTCTCCACTAAAAATACAAAAATTAGCTGGGCATAGCGGTATGCACCTGTAGTCCCAGCTACCCGGAGGCTGAAGCAGGAGAATCACTTGAACCCAGGAGGCAGAGGTTGCAGTGCGCCAAGATCATGCCACTGCACTCCAGCCTGGTGACAGAGCGAGACTCCATCTCAAAAAAAAAAAAATCCTATATTTTAGTGTTGATGTGTCTAAGAAATTGTATCTTTAACCTGGCTTTGCAAGATAAATCTTTCTTTTTTGTTCAGGATTTCTGACAATCTCCATTTAATATTCTGTACTCTTAAAGAGTGACATAAACAGTGTGCCCAGCAGGAAATCTGACATCAGTTCACATCAGAGAGACATCAGCTGGCTGCCAGCTGGAGAGTTGCTAGTATTTCAATTCAGAAATTTCTCATCAAAATGTTAAAGGTCTGTTTTACAAAGAAAGCAGTAGCTGCACAGCAAATCTTAAGACGACTGTTGCAGGTCTTTAGAATCAATGTTGAATTATCAGCCCAAATGAATCCTGTGCCTTTTAACAAGATGACATACCCAAGTACCACGGCTGAGTCCCTCTCTGTTCTAGGTTATTGTGTAGGACCCTTTTCTCCTCCGGAGGCCTTTAGAAACTGCCACTCTAGTGGTTGCCTGACTAGAACTGCTGACCCTCTTGGCTTAGTCCCCATTTCTGGCCCTACCTTTGCCCTTGGAGTGAGAATTCACTTCTCCTGGTTCCACTCTCAGTGTTTGGTTGTTTAAACTTAAATTTTTACTGGTACAATCTAAAAACAGAATTATCAAAATTTTATGTTTTATTCTGAGCAGTAAGGTATAGGGAATAGAAAAAGAAAAGAAAAATGTGTATTACGAGTAATTTTGCTAAAAGTGTAAAAAGCTTGAGCTTACCTGTAAGAATATAAGGTAAGAACTTTTAAACATGATATCCTACCTGATGAAATAAGTGATGATAGTCTCCCCATCAGGAAAAGCAGGCTTTTTGATGCATTTGTTGGCATGTGAGCTGGTTCATGTAAATAAACACTACAGAGGTGAAAATCATACAGATTCTAAGAATCCTTTCCAAAAGTCAGTGGACCACTACAGTTAGTTTCAGGTCACACACTTGCAACAATTCTATAAATACAGTCATGTGCCAAATAAACATGTTTTGGTCAATGACAGACTGAATATACAATGGTGGTCCCATAAGGTTATAATAGAGCTAAAAAAATGTCTATCACCTAGTGGTCTAGTGACATCACAGCCATCTTAAAGTCATAGCACAATGCATTATTCATGTGTTTGTGGTGATGCTGGTGTGAACAAACCTGCACTGCCATTCATATAGAAGTATAACAGGTACAATTATGCACAGTACATAATACTTGATAATGAAAATAAACTACTATGGTACTTTTTGCTTATGTATTTACCACATTATACTTTTAATCTTTATTTTAGAGTGTATCTCATATATATATATACTAAAATAACCACAGGCAGGTTCTATAGGAAGTATTCCAGAAGAAGGCACCATTATCTTGGAGATGACAGCTCCTTGCCTGTTATTGCCCCTGAAGACCTTCCTATGGGACAAGATGTGGTGGTAGAAGAGAGTGATATTGATGATCTTGATTCTGTGTAGGCCTAACTAATGTGTGTGTTTATGTCTTAGTTTTTCTTTTTTTTTTTTTTCTTTTTTTGAGACAGAGTCTCGCTCTGTTGCCCAGAAGTGCAGTGGTGCGATCTCGGCTCACTGCAAGCTCCGACTCCTGGGTTCATGCCATTCTCCTGGGTTCATGCCATTCTCCTGCCTCAGCCTCTGGAGTAGCTGGGACTACAGGTGCACATCACCACGCCTGGCTAATTTTTTTTTGTATTTTTAGTAGAGATGGGGTTTCACCGTGTTAGCCAGGATAGTCTTGATCTCCTGTATGTCTTAGTTTTTAACAAAAAGTTTAAAAGTTTAAAAAATAAAAATTTTTAAAATAATTTTTTCTATTTAAAATAGAATATAGAATAACGATATAAAGAAAAAATTTGTACAGCTATACAATGTGTTTTAAGCTAAGTGTTATTACAAAAGAATCCAAAAGCTTTAAAGCATTTAAAAGTTTGTAAGGTTAAAAAGCCACAGTAAGCTAAGGTTAATTTATTAATTTATTATTAAAAGAAAGAACATTTCAAAAATAAATTTAGCATAGCCTAAGTGTACAGTCTTTATAAAGTCTATAGTAGTGTAGAGTAATGTCCTGGGCCTTCACACTCACCAACTCACACAGAGAAATTTCCAGTCCTGCAAGCTCCATTCATGTTAAGTACTCTATACAAGTGTACCATTTTTTATCTTTTAAACTGTAATTTTACTCTACCTTTTTATGTTAGATACACAAATACTTAACCACTGTGTAATAATCTAGCCTAGGTACGTAGCAGGCTGTACCATCTAGGTTTTTTAAGTACACTCTATGGTGTTAACACAGTGATGAAATCGCCTAATGACACATTTATCAAAATGTATCCCCATGGTTAAGCAAAGCATGACTATGTATTGAATATAAGGCTTGTATATTACTGAGTGTAAGATTGCCACTGCAGTCTGGTGTTGAGAATATGGGCTCATATCATAGTTCAAATATTCTTTCCCTTGAATAATTTTTGAACTCTCAGAAAATAAACAGGTATACAAAACAACCCCTACTAAGCTGAAAAGCGTGGTAAATATGTGACTCTATGTCACATAGAGTGGTTTCCTACCAGATGCTGCCTGATTTGACCCCCTTTCTTACCACTTGGTACTCAGATCCCCTACTCCTGACCAGCAATGGAATAAGGCTCAGATGAACTAACAAATGTTTGTTTCACCTATTCTTTTTTTAAGGTTGAAAGTTTAACAGATCATTAAACTGTCACCACATCAAAAGGGCTGTATCAGAACAGAGAACCCAGAAATAAAGTCATATATTTACAGTCAACTGATCTTTGACAAAACTGACAAGAATATACACTGGGGAAAGGAAATCCTTTTCAACAAATGCCGCTGGGAAAATTGGATTGGCATATGCAGAAGAATGAAACTGGACCCCTGTTTCTCACCATATACAAAAATCAACTCAAGATGGATTAAAGACTTAAACGTAAGACCTAAGAACTATAAAAATACTAGAAGAAAACCTAGGAAATGGGAACAGATTGTGAGGACAGAAAACTTAAAAAAGGAAACCTAGGAAAAACTCTTCTGGACATTGGTCTAGACAAAGAATTCACGACTAACACCTCAAAAGTACAGACAACAAAAACAAAAATAGACAAATGGGACTTAACCCAACTAAAAAAGCTTCTGTACAGCAAAATAATCAAGAGTGAACAGACAACCTGCAGAATGGGAAAAAATATTTGTAAACTATGCATCTGACAGGGGACTAATATCCAGAATTTACAAGGAACTCAAACAATCCAACAAAAAAATCCCAATAATCCCATTAAAAAGTGACCAAAAAGCATGAATAGACATTTTTCAAAAGAAGACATACAAATGGCCAGCAGGCATGTGGAAAAAAAAAAAAAACGCTCAACATTGCTAATCATCAGAGAAATGCAAATTAAAACAACAATAAGATATCACCTTACACCAGTCAAGAATGGCTATTATTAAAAAGAAAAAAATAATAACAAATGTTGGCAAGGACATAGAGAAAAGGAAACTCTTATACACTATTGATGGGAATTTAAATGAGTATAACCTCTATGGAAAAAATATGAAAATTTCTCAAAGAATTAAAAATAGAACTATCATTTGATCCAGCAATCCCCCTACTAGGTATCTACCCAAAGGAAAACAGATCCTTATATCAAAAAGATGCCTGTACCCATAAGTTTATCACAGCACTATCCACAATAGCAAAGATATGGAATCAACCTAAGTATCCATTAACAGATAAATGAATAAAGAAAATGTTACATATATACACAATGGAATATTATTCAACCATACAATACAATGAAATCATGTCTTCTTCAGCAACATGGATGGAACTGGAGATCAGTATCTTAAGTGAAACAAATCAGACACAAAATGACAAATACCATATGTTCTTCCTTATAAGTGCGAGTTTAATAATGTGTACACATGGAGGTAGAGCATGGAATGACAGAAAATGGAGACCCAGAAGGGTGAGGAGGTGGAAGGAGGATGGATGATGAAAAATTATTTAATGGGTACAATGTACATTATTTGGATTATGGATACCCTAAAAGACCTGACTTCACCACTATGTGATCTATGCGTGTAACAAAATTACAACTGTACCCCATAAATTTATACCAAAAAAGGACTATATCAAAGTGCCATCTGCCACCAATTTCTTTAAACCCTATGGAAAAAATATCTAACAAATTTACATATGCATTGGCAACATCTAACAAAATTTCATATGCATTTTCCCTTTGACCCAGCAATCCCACTTCTATGAACCCATCTAGAAAATACACTTTGACAAAAATAAAACAATATATGAAATAGTTATTCATTGTAGCATTAGTTGTAACGGTGAAAGACTGGAAACAAAACAGATATCCACCAAGAGGGAACCAGTTAAATAAATTATATACACACAGTGGAGTTCTGTGAATCATAAAAAGGGATGAGCAAGATCTCTGTGAGTAGATATGAAAGGATTTTTTCCAAGACATATTGTTAAGTGAAAAAGAAAAGTGTAGAAAAGAATATATGGTATGCTATTTTTTGTATAAGAAAAAGTGGAAAATAAGAATATATATACTACATATTTGCTTATTTTTGCAAAAGAAATACCAGAAAGATAAATTTAAAAATGTATGGAAAGTGGATATCTATAAGGGGTGGGGTGGATGCTGTGGAAAGGACAGGCTGGACTTTTCTAATTATCCCTCTCGATATACTTCTCCATTTTGAACAAAGTAAATGTTTAACATATTTAATAAATTACATTAAACTAAAATGGGGAAAAACAGACCCTATGATTGAACAAAACAAAAACAAGTAAATGTAATTGTCTCACATTAGTAACATAACTACACAAAGAAAGAATAATTTCAAGAAACTTTTGAACACCGTACATCCTTGTCAATATATAGTCTAAGGACAAAATGGATAGTAAGAAATAGCAAACTTCACTAGTAGGATTACTGTCAGTAGCAATTTTGAAACTAATTTAAGTATATTATAGGATTTTTTAAGTGAGTATATTAATGTTCTAAGAACCAAGATACTCTAAGAGAAAAATATATGTATAAAAGTACCAACTCAGAAATGTGATAATTCTTACTTTGAAAAATATTTTCAAAAATGTAAGCATCACACAAAACACCTGTGTAACAAACCTGCATGTGTATCCCCGAATCTAAAATAAAGTTGAACTTTTTAAATGTACTATTTTAAATGATACCATAAATGTGTGAAGAAATAAATCACTGAAACATATGAGGAAGGTGGACTGTCCAAAAGTCAGATTGGAAAGCATACAAAGGGGGAGCAAGGTGGAGTGAGTAGTGGTGCCCGTGTTCTAAAACTGAGGGAACAAGAGGGTACAGCAGGATCAAGCAAGGGACAGAGAGAAGGAAAGAATGGAAACCTGAGGTGTGGGCAGGCATCCAGAGAGGAGAAAGAGAATTCATATGAGGTATAATCAACATGTGGCACAAAGTCATGAGGAGTCCAGAATCCAAGTGAAAGATTAATTTTAGGAAGATGGTTCTTACTCTGAGAGTAGAGAGGAAGGTGGCAGGTGATGTCCTGAGATGAAGCTATAAAGTGCAAAACGAATTTACAGGTGTTCATGCCGGCTGATACCAATCAGTCCCATAATACATGGGCTACATGTGTAGTGGGGCCAAGGCCAACTGACTCTACCACCATGATGCTGTGTCCAGTTTAAGGACTCTGCTAGAAGGTGCAATGGGACCACAGAAAAGGAAAACTGGACTCAAACTGGGGGTTGAGATTCCAAATGTGGACAATAAGAATAAGTTAGGCAGAGAAGGATGGGAGAGAAGACAGCAGACACACAGAGAAGGACATCGGGAAATGCACAGCTGGCCAGGAAATGCCAAAGTCATGGCTGGCAGGAGGGGAGGTGAGGGGCAAGCCAGCTGGGAAACGCCTCAAAGGCCCCAGGGTTTGAACCTCACGCTGGAGGCTACTCAGGGCCAAAGGAGGATTTTAGGTGGCTGAGTGAAATCAGCAGATGCGGGGTGGGGAGGATTTTAGAACTGGAGGAGCAAGAGACAGGAGGGACAGAAATCTAGTTAGCACCTCTCCCCAAGACGTGAGTAAACAGCGGAGAAAGAGCAGATCCTGGAGGCATATTTATGAGGTCAAACTGACAGGAGAGAAAAGAGGAAAAGAGTGAAGTGAGGAGTGGACACAAGGCTAAGGCAGAGTGGGGCCCAGAGTATCCCGACCACCATCTAGACTGCTCAGGACCATCTATGATGAGGGATGTGAACTACAGCAACTCTGCTCAAGTATTTTGGAATAGGAGACAGTTTGAGTGGCTGGAGGGCAAGATTTTACATGAGGTTTGAAGTCTCTTTCAATGTTTATATTATTACCTGGATTCCAGCTATTTTCTCAGGCTGATCCAACCAAAGCCTAAGCCATGATGCCACCTGTTAAGATAATAAATGACATCTTACTAGATAAGTGGGATGGGGGGCTGGAAGGACCTTCTACCATCATTAAGAGATAGCTAAGTGCAAAGGGCACCAGGAATGAATGAACTGAGTTTTACACTGGTGCAAGGAGAAAGCAGGAGCAGGAAGCTAGCAGCAGAACAAAAGTCTGGGATCACGAACAGCCACCCACAAATGGGTTTCTCCAGGCTCTTGGAGTCCTTGTCACTTTTTTGACAAATGTGACTGATGGTCAGGAGCAATGTGATTGGTGATGTGATCAGAATACAGGCAGCAGAGTGGTTTTTCTCAACAAAGGCAGTCCATAAACCAGCCTAAAAACAAGCAGGGTCCCCATGCTGACTGTGAGTATCAGGCAGCTTCTAAATGAAAGCAGGGCAGAAGGGGGATCTTCTGATTTTAGTAAGACATACAAATGAGATACGAAGTAGGAATTAGCAACTTGGGCACATCTTCCCTGGAACTGGCACATGGCTAATCATGGTATCTAGGTCAGTCAAAGAGGTCACTCAAAGACAAACCAATGCTTTATGCATACAGTCATTTTTAGAACTACTTTGCCAAAACACTTGCTGTGGGTTTTTTTATTGGACTTTTAGGAATGCTCAGGATAAAGGCTTTAAGAGAGACATCTTTAATTAGTGCTAACATTAGCCCATTAACCCAGCGGTTACAATGAAATGTGGGGGACAGACCAAAATCTCAGTAACCATCAGCTTCCAGTCCTTGTGCAGGGGCTACCTGGACAGTGTTGTGCCCATACGAAGGGGCAGGAGCCAGGCCAGTGTCTGTCCTCTGCAGATACCTGAAATTCACCTGAATGACCTGTCCGATGAGGTAACAGGTCTGGCTTCATAAAAGAGTCTGAGGTCACCGGAAATGGGAAATGGGCTTGCTAGTGAAGTAAGAAATCCCCCAAATACAGCCTAGGCAACAAGAGCAAAATTCTGTCTCAAAAAAAAAAAAAAATTCCCCCAAATAAGTGCTTAGTCCTACAGAACATTTTCTGAGACATCTGAGTTTCCAAAAGCACTGTGTATACACTCCCCTCTGCATTCTGTTCAAGTGGCAGCACTGTCCTTCATTCCCACAACTGCTTTTTAAAAAAAAAAAAAAAAAAAAAAGAACACTGTGGTGAGCTTTTTATTTTGCTATTTTAGGGTCCATCATTTTACTTTAAAAAGGACTCTATCATGGGTATTTTGGAAAATACTTAGGTTAGGTGAAATAAAAAATACCCTATATCTTTTCCTCCATCAAACTATTTTAAAAGAAGGCAGAGATTCTTGGATCTGGAGTCCCAGACACAGCAGTTGAAGCCACAAGAGGCAATGGCAAGGTGCTCATGACATCGCTACCGAGCTGTGGAGAAGAAACAGCTTTGTCATGATGCCGACCTCGGGCAGGTGTCTCAGCTCCCAGAGGTGCAGCCCTGAGCCATCAATCCTCCCAGACAAGAGCCACTTGTCACAAGCTGTTTACAGAGCACATCTGTGGCCAAATTGTACTTCTCCATTCCTTATTTTTTTCTTCTCTCTTCTCCTCATCTTCATTTCCTCACATTTTGTTCCCTTTTTAATCCCTTCATTCTTTTGTTTCTCTCAATTATTTATTATTTTATTATTTATTTTGAACTCTTGTTCAAAGGCCTACTGTCTCTTTGCAATAGCACAATATTAATCCTTTACCCCAATCACATTTGATCCTTAGAAATATTCCCCATTTTGTTTGACCTCTTCCAACTTTATCCCCAAATAGTCTCAGTGCATATTTTTTTTAAAATGTAGACATCATAGATGTGGGGTGGTGGTGTCCCATTAGTATATCTAGAAGTAAACACAGTTATTAAAGGGTAGTTTCCTAGGACTGCTAAAAAACAAGTTAACCACAAATTTCATGGCTTAAAACAACACACATTTATTCTCTAACAGTTCTGGAGGGCAGAAGTCCAAAATCAGTTTCATTGAGCTAAAGTCAAGGCGTCAGCAGAGCCAGTTCCTTTGGCAGCTCTAGGGGAGAATCTGTTTCCTTGCTGTTCTGCTTCTGAAGGCTGCTCATGATCCCTTCCTCGTGTCATTCCAACTTCCTGCCCCCATTGTCACATCTCCTCCTTCTGTAGTCAAATCTCCCTCCCTGTGCCTCGCTCTCACAAGAACATTTGTGATGACATTTAAGGCCCACCCAGATAATCCAGGAAAATCTCCCATCTCAAGATCCTTTATTTGATCACATCTGCAAAATCCCTTTTGCCATATAAGGTAATAGCCACAGGTTTCAGGAATTAAGACATGGATATCTTGGGGGCCTACTACAGGGGGGCTATAGCAACTCCATCCATTTCTATTCCCTTCAAGAGAGCAGCAAAAGGGAATGACATCATTTAAAGGATAACCGCAAATCTCTTCCTATTAGAAGAAAATGATAAATTCCAGTACTTTATTGATAACAGATTATTTGTGATATCTTACAACTTATCTTTACTTATCAGTGTGTCATAACACCAAAACCAGAAAACTAACAAAATGGAGAATTGGTGTGGGAGGCATAATTCTAAATTGAGCCCCCCAGATTCCCAATCCCTGGTCTACATACCCTGTATAATCCTCTCCCCTTGAATGTGGGTGGGACCTGCGAGTATGATGGGATGCCACTCCCTTGATTACACTGCATAATATATGAGACTCTGTCAGAGCCCACTGACTGAGATTCTCCTGCTGACTTTGAAGTGAGGTGCCATGCTGTGAGAGGGCCCTCTCACTACGAACTGAGGAAGGGTTTCTAGGAGCTTAGAGTCCCAGGTAACAGCCAGCAAGAAAATGAGGACCCCATCCTAGAATTGCAAGAAATTGAATTCTGCCAACAACTTGAATGGGCTTGGAAGAGGACCTCAGCTAAGATAATCTCAGATAAGATTGCAGCCCCCACTGACACCTTCATTTCAGCCTAGTGAGACCCTGAGCAGAGGACTCACCTTACCCATGACAGAATCCTGGCCCACAGAAACTGACATAATACATTTGTGTTGTTTTAAGTCACTAACTGCCAAGCATAATAGAAAACTAATACAGTTGGCAAGCACAGAATTTAAAAAGAGAATTGTAAGGACAGACTTTGGGAGGGTCAATAAACTATCTGAAATTATATGAAAATTTTAGAGTACGTGTGCATTTAACTAAGGAATGGGTTCATAACTTGCATCATATCCTCAACAAGCCAGTGGCCCAAAACAGATGAAGAACACCAAACTGAGGTCTAATGGAGCAGTCAAAAAATAATATTTTGAGGTTCCAATCTGACATGATATCAAAGAGTAAGAGAGTTCCATAAAGAAAAAGTGGGGACTAATAAACCATTCTTTGTTAATATCCTTCCATCTCTTATCACACAGGGCAAGGTAGAGAGTGGAGATGTAGGAGTATGTTTCATTGCAAAGTATTTCTGTAGAGAGAAATACAGTACTTCCTCCATCCCTCAGGGCAGGATTCACTGCCTTTAACAGAACTAGTACACAACAGACAGTGCTCACCACATGCTCAAGTTGCCTTCTTCGATTGTCACCTTGACCTCATCCTCATGGCCCCTTTCCTAATACTCTACTGTAGTTCCTCACCGCTGTATGGCTAAAAGCTTCAAAACCCTTTCCCAAGCTTCCCTAAATAAACTCAAGAGTATCTGCACGAACTTTTCCACCCATGCAGGTGACCAATGACTGATGGAGTGATACCTTTCTATTACTTGATTTCCTAGCAACCAAAAAAGTCAACCTGCCTGGGAATCTAACTAATTAGGATTTGAATTCAAAGCACATACATTCATCTAATGTCAATACCATGCTATGTACTGATCCCTACTGAGTGACCTAAAAGCTAAAATGGAAAGACATTCATAAATAAACCCTGAATTAGCAAATTAGATTGCTTTTTAATGGGAAAGGGATAATGAGGCCAATTTTATCCAATTCAGCATTTATTTTCTGAGCACTTACAAATATGCAACCCACTGAGTTAGGCTCTATAGAGAATACAAAGATTCCTAAAACAAGTTCCTTACATTCCCAAGGTTGGAATATGCTGGTGGCAGCTGCATGAAAATAACTCAGTAAAACTCTTTTAAGGCAAGAAGAAATAAGTTGTATAATAGAGAGATAAACAACATTGTAGGAGAAAAGAAGAGGTATGAAGTCTGACATGGTGGGCCTTGAAGAATGAATAGGTGAGGGCATTTGGGATGTTCATTCCAAACTGAAGCAGGATGAAGTCAATGGTGGAGAGAAAGCTAAACATACACGATGTGTACAGAGAAGATGGGGAGTATGAGAAGGAGGAGTACAGGCTGACAACTGGATACAGCAGGACATGAGGCTGGACACAATAGGACATCCCTTGCAGGATGAGACCCAATTGTTAAGAGATCAAAATAGACCAACTTTATCCTCTAGGTAATGAGATACCAGGAAAGGACTTCACTGTGTGGTTGTTGCTGCTGCTAGTGTGTGTGTATTAGAGCATTCTTGCAGTGCTGTAAAGAAATATCTGAGGCTGGGTAATTTACAAGAAAAGAGGTTTAATTGGCTCACAGTTCTGCAGGCTGTACAGGAAATATAATGTCAGCAACTGCTTCTAGGGATGCAGGCACATTCATATGATGAAAGCAAGAGCAAGAGAGAGAGTTGGTGGGGAGGTGCCACACGTACCTTTAAAAGACCATATCTCACAAGAACTCACTCACTTTTCGCAAAGATAGCACTAACCCACGAGGGATCTGCTCCCATGACCCAAACACCTCCCACCAAGCCTCACCTCCAGCATTGAGGATTACAATTCAACATGAGATTTTGGTGGGGACAAATATCCAAAATATCTGTGTGTGTGTGTGTGTGTGTGTGTGTGTGTGTGTGTGTGTGTGTGTGTGTGTGTAATCATGAGAGTAATAGAATCCAAACAGTGCTTTAAGAAAATAACTTTGGTAACAGTAGGAGAAATGGCTTGAAGAAGCTAAAGATCAGAGAAATGAAAAACAGTGAAGAGTCCATTCGAAAAATACAGGTGCTGATAGCTAACATATATTAAACATTAAGCACTATACTTGTATTGTCTTATCTGATCTTCAAGACAACCTCACAAAGTAGGTACTATAACTAACCACATTTTCTGCCTGAGAAAACAGAGGCTTAGAGAAGTTAAGCAGCTCTCCCAAAGTCATAAAGCTAGTGGGTGGAAGGAACAGGTTCTTAAGTCAAGTTTGACTCCAAAGCCCAAATTTTTACTACACTGTTTCTCAGGTAATAAGGTCTGGACTACAGCAGTGGCAAGTGATAATGGGAAACATTTCAGGGGCAGAATCAATTTGGGAATGAGAAAGAGGAAGAGAGAGAAATCAAATATAACCAAAAATACCAGCTGTGCGCAGGTAGGGATATCACAGGCCAAGATGACAGCATAGAACCGAAAACTACAACACTGGCTGCAGCAAATGAAGAGCTAATCTGTGAATTTCATGGGTGACCTAGGCTCATACATTAGCACCTCATTCTATGAGAAATTAACCAGCCATGGGCTAGTTTTTCTTTTCTTTTTTTTTTTTTGAGACTAGTTTTTCTTATTAATATATATTCAATAGAAGGTGAAGTAGCTTCCTAGTAGACCAACCAAGTGGGAGACACTGACACTTATCTATGGGCACCCTGCACCTTCACCATCACCACAAGCCAGCCCCCACGATTGTCAACCAGTCATTTGTCTTTCATCTTATTCTATTCTTGTCCCCCTTTTGGCCATTCTATTCATTAACTACATCTTTATCACCAAGCAGAAAAGTACAAAGTCAGATGGTGAAATTCAAGCTGATAAAAATTTGCCCCTGCTAAGTGTTTCTGATTAAAGATTTTCAAGGGCAGGTTTTTAAATTACTGTGCAAAAAGGAAATCTATGAAATCAACTAGCCATGCTTCCCCCAAAACCTAATGACATGAAGAACTCAAAATGTATTGCACGAAGGTTAGGTATTGAGAAGATGTCTGTAAGTCTCAAGTGACTTACGTAAGTCTGCAGTCTCTATATGAGTTTCCACCAAACAGGTGGGTGACACTTCAGAGTTTCAACACCAGTCATCCTCCTCTTCTTTTCATTGATCTTCCTTAGATTTGGGCATCTTTTTCCAAAATTGACCTGTAGTGTGGTAAGTAACTCCCCTCAATAGTAACTCCCCAAGAGTTGACAACCCCTCAGGGGTTATGTCAGATGCTTACCAATGACATCTCACATGGATGATCTGCTGATGGGAACAGTCATAAAGCCTGTGATACCATCCATTTTCACCAGACCAAACCTTCTCATCTTCTCCAAATATTAGCCTAATTGGCATCTTTTTTTTATATTGACAGAGCTTTATGCAATAACAAATTCCAAAGTTCTTCCTTCTCCTCAGTCACATTTCTTTCATCTTGCTATGTATTGTTAGCTGCATTGAAACAGTAGTTTACATGTGTTACATGGTCTGCAGTTTGTCATTCAGAAACAATCTGGTGTCAAGTGATTCTTCTCTTGCATACTTAGGGAAGTCATCATTGTTGCTTCACCTTTTATCATCTTTACTTTCTTAAAAGTCAATAAGACTTGGAGTAATAGAATGTTTCTTATTATCATTGCTTTCCATACACCTTACATGAGGTTAATAATGTCACAAAAATGCTTAAAAATTAACTGCAATTCCAGCTGGGTGCGGTGGCTCATGTGTGTAATCCCAGCACTTTGGGGGGCCAAGGCAGGTGGATCACCTGAGGTCGGGAGTTCAAGACCAGCCTGACCAACATGAAGAAACCCTGTCTCTACTAAAAATACAAAATTAGCTGGGCATGATGGCGCACGCCTGTAATCCCAGCTACTTGGGAGGCTGAGGCATGAGATCACTTGAACCTGGGAGGCGTGGTTTGTGGTGAGCCAAGATCGCGCCATTGCACTCCAGCCTGGGCAACAAGAGCGAAACTCCATCTCAAAAACAAAAACAAACAAACAAAAAATTAACTGCAATTCCAGCAAACGTGAGTCTACCATAGACTAACAACAGAACATGGAGCCCAGTACACAACCAATACTGCCATCTGTTGGTGCCAGGCAGAGTTCACTCACTTTTGTTTGGAATAATGGCTTTGTTTCTACCTGTCAAAATTAATAGTTTCAAAATTCCTAAATATGGGAGCCACTATCTCGCTTTTTGAGCCTGATAAAAGCAAAAACCAACCGTTTCTAAAAATGTCTTAGATTATCATGACAATACAAATTGGAATTTCTATTGTTTCTTTGACTACAAAGAAATAATTTGTTTGGTAAGGTGTTTTCAGATAAATACTTGTCTTTGCAGAATCCATGCTAGATGGACAAATATTTTCATATCACTCTTGGAGCTGACACTTTAAAGCATTCCTGGAGAACTGCATATGTTCTCACATACAAGCAAAATTGACTCATTTGTAAATATTGAGCTTTTCAATGCTATCTATTCATAGACAATCGGCAGTATTAGGAAGCCCACTGGATCAAGAGTCAGCAAACAGATTCTTATCCAATCTGCCACTCAGTTCCATGAGCTTGGTCAAATCCTGACTTGCAATTTCTTCATGTAGGAAATGGGGTTTTAGTGCCGAGCCTCCTTACCTAATGGGTATGTTGAGAAAAGTGAATAACATATGTGAAAATGTTTTTAAAATCATTAAGTATGATAAAAATTTAAAATACTCCCTTTATCATCTTGCTTAACTCAAAGAAGTTTCTTCCACATACACAAACCACCACCTGTCATCATCTGACTTATTTGGTGTGTACTTTTTTGCAATATTTTGTAATCTATTTTTATTCCTCCCAATGTTTAACTCATATATATATATGAGTTTAAATATATGTATATATTTAATTTACATATATGTATATATTTAATTTAAATATATATATGTATTTAACCTGGGTGTGGTGGTACACACCTGTAGTCCCAGCTATACAGGAGGCTGAGGTGGGAGGATCACTAGAGTCCAGGAGTTTGAGACTGCAGTGAGCCACGATCCTGCCACTGCACTCCAGCCTGGGTGATCCAGCCTGGGTGACAGAGTGAGACCCTGACTCAAGAAATACATATTTTTAAAAAAAGAAGAAGAAGAAGAGAATTGAGCAGAAGAATAAAAATAAATGCTTCAGCTGCATAAACATATAACTTCTTTCATGGTCCTACTAACATATATTCAAAATTGATAGTAAACATGTGAAATAAATAGCAGATGCTACACTTCAGGGAGAATTTCAGGAACCTCTTTTTCCTTTGAACTTAAATCCATTGCTACTACCCTCTTGTGCACAGCGAACTAAGGCCTAATAAAATTGGATTTAAACACACCTTCTCTCTCATCTTCTTGCATACAAGATCAGTATGAGCTGCAATTCTCAAAGTGGTGTTCTACCAGTTGTTTCAGTGAGGGATATAATGTTAATGATGTTGATGTTTATGTTAATGTTTATAATTTAATTTCTATTGCTATTATTATGGAATGGCCTATCCAGTATCTCATGAAAGCTATTATTTTTCTTAGCCTATTTTCTGGTAGTAAATTTTCACAGTGAGAACATGGCAAAACCCCCTCTCTATAAAAAAAAAATACAAAAATTAGCTGGGTGTGTAGTCCCAGCCACTTGGGAGGTGGGAGGATGGTTGGAGCCCAGGAGGTTGAGGTTGCAGTGAGCTGAGATCCCACCACTGTACTCCAGAGCCAGACCCTGTTACAAAAAGAGAGAGAGAGAGAGGGAGAGAGGGAGGGAGGGAGAGAGAGAAAGAGAGACAGAGACAGAGACAGAGAGAGAGAGAGAATGAAAGAGAATAGGTGATCTACATTATCTTCTGTTCCTTCAAAGTAGTCTTAGAATCAGGGGGAAAAAATAAGGTTACTTCTTCAACTCACAAATAGAGCCTTCTTTACTAGTTCCAGAGCTTGGCTGCCTAATTTGTTCAATTTTATTTTATCCTATTTTTCTTAATAAAGCAATTAAAAGTCTCATAAGAAAACCCAATTATTGAGTCTAGCAGCTCTGAAACACCTAAAAAAATCCATGTTGGTCCTCAGTGCTATTTATATCCTCCCTTCTTTCATTCCCTAGTTTGCTGTCTCATCAGGCTTGGGAAGATCTCTTTTATCAAAGTTACTGTTGCCAGAAAACACAAAAACAAGATGGAGGACAAAGCTAAGAGGAGAATAAGTTTCTCCTCTCCCCCAACCCCAGCCACACTGATACGTTTAAGTGAACATCCCTGAACACACTCATTTATAGTCATATTCACCCCAAATTCCCCCAAATCCAAATGTAGGCAAACACAAAAGATGTTCCATCAAATGTGAGCAAATATTTTTCTAAACATTTTATTGCCTTGTATTAAATTAGCATTCACCTATGAACTAGGTCGCAGATGCATCAAGCCCAGGACTCCTGGCTCCTAATCACATGCTCTTCTTCTTCTTCTTCTTTTTTTTTTTTTTTTGTTTGTTTGTTTTGAGTTGGAGCCTTGCTCTGTTGCCTAGGCTGGAGTGCAATGACGGATCTCAGGTCACTGCAACCTGCACCTCCCGGGTGCAGGCAATTCTCCTGCTTCAGCCTCCCAAGTAGCTAGGACTACAGGCAGACGCCACCACACCTGGCTAATTTTTGTATTTTTTGGCAGAGATGGGGTTTCACAATATTAGCCAGGCTGGTCTCAAACTCCTGACCTCAAGTGATCTGCCCGCCTTGGCCTCCCACAACACTGAGATTACAGGAGTGAGCCACCGCACCCTGCCCCAACTCCATGCTCTTTCCATTACTCATGCAGTATTTCCCAACAGAGATGTTCAAAACAATGACACAGCCGCATTTTCCTTCACTATAAGCACTTCTTTCTTCCCAGCTTTACTGAAGTATAACTGAAAATAAAAACTGTATATATTCAAGGTATACATGATGTTTTGATATACATGTACATTATGATTACCACAATCAAGCTAATTAACATATCCATCACCTCCCATAGTTACCTGTGTGTGTGTGTGTGTGTGTGTGTGTGTGTGTGTGTGTTGAGAACATTTAAGATCTCTCTTGGCAAATTTCAAGTGTACAATACAGTATTACTAACAGTAGTCACCACATTGTACCTCAGATCTCCAGAACATATTAATCCTGTACAACTGAACCTTTTTACCCTTTGACCAACATCTCCCCATTTCTCCCACCCCTGACAGCCATCATTCTACCCTCTGCTTCCATGAGTTCAATGTTTTTAGATTCCACATATAAGTGAAATCATACAGTACTGTCTTTTTGTGGCTGGCTTATTATACTTAGCACAATGTCCTCCAGGATCACCCATGCTGTTGCAAATGACAAGACTTCTTCCTTGTGACCAAATAATATTTGTGTGTGTGTGTGTGTGTGTGTGTGTATCACATTTTTTTATCCATTCATCTGTCTACAGACACAGGTTGACTCTATATCTTGACTACTGTGAATAATGCTGCAATGAACATAGGAATGCAGTTATCTCTTAGAGATACCAATTTTATTTCCTTTGGATACATGCCCATAAGTGGGACTGCTGGATCATATGGTAGTTCTGTTTTTAGTTTTTTTAAGAACCTCTATATACCCTTTTCCATATGGTTGTTCCAATTAATTTACATTCATACCAGTGTACGAGGTTTCCTGCCTTTAGTTGTAAAACCACTTTAAAGCTCTTTGGATAATAAAGCTCACTATTATTCTAAAGAAGAGAATAAAACAAAAAGTAAATGACCAGAGTGACAGTCAGGGAGGGGTGGCTGGCCGAAAGGCCAACACTGAAGAAACCCCTATGTATTTAGGCACTGAGGACACGGTCCTTCCTGAACATCACAGATGAGGTAAGATGAGAGTAGGCGTTGCTGGATGTATGTATATGTGGCTAGGCCTGAAGGGTGGTACACCTTGGTGAAGATTACTGAGAGGTTACTGAGTGCTGTAATGATACTACAACAGTACCGTAAGTGCCACATTTAATGGAAGAAAACTAGAGAACAAATGGGTCAACTATCATTTTACAGACTACTGGGCCTACCCCTCACTTAAAAATAAGGAAAGTGAGGCCTTAAAAGTTTAAGTGATTCGCCCAGGTCCATAAAGTAGGTTAGAGGCAAAGCTAGCCTAAAACCCTGTTTCTTAACTCCCTGTCCAGTACTAAAACCTTGACCAATGAGGGTGTTGCTGCTTGGGAGCCCACTTAACCTCCTTCAGTAATGTTGGAAAAATATGGTCCCAGGAGCCACACAGCCTTGACTGGAACAGGTCAGTGGTCATCAGCTGATATTTAGATGCCTGTGGGAAACCTAAAGCAACTTCATCCCAAAGGTCTATTGAAATGTTCAGGCCAATTAATGCCACCACACTTCACATCCTTGTCATATGTGCAAAACTGTACTCTCAAACCCTCATGCCCATGCTGCTCAGAGCTCCCCCTCCTTGACCTTACTCCCCTTTCCTCTCTAACCTCTTACTGGACCCTCTGCAACTTGTTGCATGACAGGACTAACACTTGACAACATCGTGCCTACCTCACAGACCTTGGCCTTAACCAAAACCCAAGGGCCCGCTTCCCCACTGGATGCTGTGCAGTCTCCTGGGCACCCCACCTCGAAGTTGGGAATAAGGTCATCCTATTCCTCACTCACTCCCTATTTGTACATCTAACACACTGCCCTTCTATATTTATATAAAATCCAGACTCCTTTAACTCCTGTCATCTGGTTACATCTCTTTCTACTCCCTCTTTGTTTTTGTAACCTATCAGCCTCCAGGTAACTCCTTCTCATTTGCTAAAGATTTTAGTATCTGACTCATAGCCTCTGTCCCACCCAGGCCTTGCCATTATTTAGGATAATTTCAAAGTCCTATGTGGGTGACAAGACCCACAATTCCTATACTTATCAACAAATGAACTTAACCTGCTCTTTACTCATGCACACAGTGAACACCTTCAACCTTCTCAAGACTCAGAACTTCTCTGGCTAGGAAATCTTCAACTCCTGGCACAGTGGCTTCAAAGGGAGAAATTCACTCTCTCACCTTCCACTCACTTCCAAAAGTACAGCAATGGACCCCCACCACTCTTTTGAAACAGTTCTCTCCCAAAGTCATCATGCATTCCTCTGCATCCAGTGGACACTGTCTGGTCTCTCCCTGCTGGGTCTGATGCTATTATCACTCCCTCCTGGAAATCCTCTGCTCCCTTTGCTTCTGAGGCACTTCTCTACCACAGCTCTCCTGCCACCTCTTTGACCATTTATTTACTGTCTGCTGTCTCCTATATGGCACTCCTCTTCTTAAACCTGCTTGTTAAAAGGTCCACTCTACATTAGGTGAACTCATCTACTCTCATGGTTTGAGCTACCACTCAATTTTGATGACTTCAATACTTGATGACCCTCCAGCTTTAGATTCTTAGATCAAATTGGGTATTTCACAGGTGCCTCAAAGTCAATTTGTACCAAACTTAATACCTAATGCTTTGTCTCCTATATACCTTATTTTACCCCACCTGCTTCTCCTAAACTCAATCTCTTTCACACTCTCTCTCTTTCCCCTCCACCCCCTCAGAAGCCCAATATAGAGAACTAAGCATCATCCTTGGCTCTGTCTTAACGCAACCTTCACCCCTGGTCAATCACCAAGTCCTGAAAATGTTATCTCCTTTACTTCTTGAATGTGTCACAAACTCTTTAACCCTGTTGCCATGCCCTTGCCTAAGTCCTCATTATATCTCAGCTAGAAATCACGACAGCCTCATAATTAGTCTCCCTACTTCTAGTTTTACCTCCATCATCTCCAGCCTTCACCCAGCCCACAGAATTATCTTGCTAAAACATAAACCTGTCCTTATCACTGCCCTGTTTAAAACCACTCCATGGCTCCTTGAGGCCTAGAAGACAAACTCAAAGCTTCCTAACCAGCCAGTTCCATCTTGTGGGATCTAGTTTCTGCCCACCCCTCCAGCCTCACTTTTCACCTTATAATTTATGCTCCCACCACCCTGTCTATGATCTCCAAGTACCATGCTTTGCTCTCACTGGCCTGTCTCCAGCATTGCACTTAGCATAATGAATTATAACTTAGTTCATATTTCTGTCTTCCCCAACAGACCATAAACCGGCTCCCTGGGGAAGCAACTGAATCTTAGTCATCTTTATATCTCCAGCATTTAATAAAGTGGTTGGCATATATTTAGCATTCAATTAATGCTGATGAATGAATGGATACATTTAGAAACTTCCTATTAAAAGGCATGACTGTCTACCTACTACCTACTATGTCACTAAAGGACCTAACAGTATAGCGTTCTCAGGCAATCAATCGGTCAAGTGTCCAGTGGCGGGATTTGGCTGTTTGAGAGAAATTGTTTTATTCCCATACACCTTACACTTGAATGCAAAACTGATTAGGATTTTTCACAGCAATGCGGTTATGTTCTTAATAATCATCACACTCACCACAATCTTAAAAGCAGTACTGAGTGCAACTGGTCCCTTTTAACATAGTTTAACATCTTTGTGTGTTACTCTCTGTTAATGAAATTTACATTTCTCACTGTTACTAATGTGTTTTGTTTTATCCCCAGCTCACACAAATGAATAGATGGTTCAAAAGTGCTCATTACAGTATAAACATAGTAATGAATATAGCAACAAAAATCCTAGACCTCACAATAATGTTTTAAATACAAACAGTGAATCTCACTCTAGTACAAGTAAAAAATGTGAATATGCAACTGGGATGGTTTCTCACAAGTGAAGTTGGTCCCAGCAGCTGCCAAGGAATATATTGGACAATTATTCCATTTGCCAGTGTGTTTCTGTCACAAATTCTTATCAAAGAGCAGCTAGAAGCGTCAAAGATTTCATAACATTTTCAAACTACATTTCAAAATGTGCACAGCAATGTCCCTATTAAACTTCCTGAATTGTTCCAAAACAAGTACAAAATAATGCTTTCTGGAATGAAATTGACTCATTTTGTCATTAAGGGCAGAAAGAGACCAAAACTACAGAAGCATTACTCAAAGTTATATTCCTGAGACAAAACAAATAAAGATTATTCTATTTCTAAGAAACTGATAAAGCCAGTCACAAGGTTAATGACAAATCACATGCTCAGAGGAAAATTGGACTATGCAAGTATTGGCAAAATTATTAATGGCTCTATCAAACATTACATATCAACGGCATGCAATGTGGAAGAATTACAATCACATATGTACACTAGCATGTATTTTGCCTTATAGTTAAGTGAAATCAATGATATGCAGAGTATGCATATCAACTAGCATATTAGTGGAACATATTTGAGGGATAAGTACTTAAAAACTCTTGGCTCTATGTGTTACCAAGAACCCAATCTACGGAAGAGACTTTTCATGAGTTAACATTTCTTTTGTAGGCAATAATATAAATTGGAAAAGGTTCACTAGGATCAGTGCTGATGAAATAACCAGCTATGTTTGCAGCAAGGAAGAAGGTGTGACACAAATAAAAGTGTTACCTTTATGCCAAAACACCCACTTCTTTATTCACCAAAACAGATGACACACAACAATATGGTTTCTAATCTTAATGTGGTGTTGTAGAAAATAGTTTCAAGTGTGAATATAATCAGATCTGAGTATATGTTTTCTCAGCATGTTCTGCAAAGAAATGGGCAGAGGGCATTAGACTGATTGTTCCCCCAGAAGCACTGTGGTTGTCATCAAGGGTGCTCATGCAGACTTTTGAAATGATGAATGAGACTGGAACATTCCTGTTCCACACAGATAATGTCAGGAAGGAGCAGTTCCATAGCTTCAAGTGGCAAATGTCGGCAATGCAGTTAGTATCTGGATATTCCTGATCCTCTCATCCAGAACCCAAACATGTTTATGTTGAACACTGAGAGTAAGTATAGAGCTTCTTTGAGAAGACTGAACAGCAAGTTTGAAGATGTGCTTAGAGACTTGTAGACTTCGTACGTGATGAAACCCTGACTCTGATTTTCAGGTGGAAATCTTGCCACTATTTCTAGACAGTTTCAATCTGAATTATCCAAACTTTCCAAACTGATGGAACCATCATACATTTACTGCTATTCTTGACAGACTCTAATTATAACGAAGTATTTTCTATTTTGGTAAAATAATGAAGAAGGAAAAAACACTAGATAAGGAACCCATCATATAGCTAAATATTAGATATTTTACTTCAGAATTATACTATCTTTCACTGATATGAGAAACGTTTACTATTAATTTTCAAGCATGCTTTTTAAAAAAAAACACTTCATTGAGGTATGAGTAACATGAAAAAAGCTATACATATTTAATGTACACAATTCAAATAGTTTGGGGTATACACTCGTGAAACCATTACCACCATGAAGGAAAGACAAATATATCCATCACCTCCCAAAGTTTCCCCCATCTCATTTATCAAACAAGTTTTTCATTATTAAAATTTTTTTACTTCTTAAAAATTTACCTCAAATTATGGTCTACTCGTACATAAAGCAGTGTCTAGGTGGTCTGCAGTTGCTAAAAGTCTGAGAAACATCATGATGGCACATAAATACTCTCTACAATATTCTGTGTGGTCCTTGGACAATTTTCTTCTTCATAGGTCTAAAGGTCCTGGAACGTTCACCATGTAATTATTTTCCTTTCTTGCCATAAGCAAATGGGATCAGCAATCTATTGTTTTCTATTTTTCTTACATATAACAAGATCCAGAAGATACATGCATAGCAACAAAAAAGGACACTGTGTGATTACAAAATTCCTATGATAAATCTTTATTCAGAAATATGGTTATTTGCTGATTAATGAATGTATTCAAGAAAGCCTGCTCAATGGAACTGCCTCAAATAAGGTAACAGATTTATGGACGGATGTGATCCTGGACCAACATCTCTGCCCCAGAAGAGGAAAAATAAAAGAACTCCAAACATCTCTCAGAAGCAGTTACCAGGTCGTGCTCACAGAGCTTACCTGTGGGTTGTAGGCAAACCCCTCTGGGCCCACTCCCTTCAAACAAGGGGTCACACTAACTTGTTGGCTCCTAATCCCTCTGACTTTTGACATAATACTCCTTCAGCAAAGAGCTGCAAACAGTGCAGGTAATACCCAATTGCTGTTAGGCACTGCCTTACGTGGACCAATATTTGGAAAGTTTCTGCATATTGTAATTTCCAAAAAATAAGCCTAGCAGACATGGGAATCTCTCTATATCCAAAATTTCCAACTCTATGTAATAAGCTAAACTGTCCATTGAATTATACTATGATTAAACACACCTTGTATAAGGACCACCTAACTAGCAGTTTTCCAAGTTTGTATTTGACTTTATGTATCAGAAATCCAACTACAATGGCTTAATTGATAAAGGTTGTTTTTCTCATGTAACCCACATTCCAGAAGAGGGCTGGGGCAGCTGCTCAAAGAAGTCATTATGGCAAGGACCTAGACTTCTAATTTCCTCCCTGCCATTCTTCCCACATGGTTTGTGTTCTCATAGTTGCAAGATGGTTATTCTAACCCTAGGTGTTGTATCCAGGCAGAATGTATCCTTAGGTGTTGTATACCAGGCAGAAGGGGGAAAGGGTCAAGGCCAAGGGCAAAAGACATGCCCCAGCTTTTCATTTTTACCAGGAAAAATAGCATTTCAGAGCTCCACCCAGTAAACTTCCACTCACAACCCGCTGGTCAGACCTGGTGACACAGCCACCCCCACTCTGCACAAGAGTCTGGAAGGTATTTTTATCTGGGCACATTGTTGCCCTAAACAAAACCGGGGTCCTTTAAATAAGGAATAATAAAAGCATGGATACTGAGTAGGCAAGGAGCAGAGGCTGCCACAGGATAAAGAACATTTAAAGTTTTTGCTAAGTTCTACAAGTCAAAAACCATCAACTTAAACCTCAAACTGTCTACTAACTTCAGTTTTTTTCCCTTCAAGAAATAGTTCTAAGTTCCCGATCGTTTGCCATCAAACTTACTCTTCACAATTGACTTATGTTACCCATATTTCCCCAAAAGGATTGATCACACACTCTATTATAAAAAAACTACTTTAGCAACAACCTCAAAGAGCATTTGAAAAGAGGACATAAAGATATACCAGCTCCTCAGCAACCTCTGAGGGAATCAAGCTAACCCTCTAGCATTGCTCTGTTCAACAGAGTGTGTTTCCTGCCAATTCCACATAAGAAATATATTTGTGCCCTTTTTAAAAGCCAGGATGGCCTCCAAAGCAAATCAGGGAGTAAGAAGGAAAAATGGAAATGCAAAATAAAAACAAATCCATCCCCCACCTCCTTGCTCTACCCCATTAACTGAATCACCTGGAGGTCTCCAAAGTAAATTAGAGACAAGTCTTCCAATTAATTAAGTGTAGCACAATTATCACAGGACTTGATAATTACAACACACCTGCTCTCACAGGCACTGAGGGCAGTCCCCTGGTCTAGATTGCTTCATCTAGGTATGAAGCAATCTTTATTTCAGAATCTTTATTTCTGAATAAAGATTTATCATAGGAATTTTGTAATCACACAATGTCCTTTTTTGTTGCTATGCATATATCTTCTGGATCTTGTTATATGTAAGAAAAATAGAAAATAATAGATTGCTGATTCCATTTGCTTATGGCAAGAAAGAAAAATAATTACATGTTTCAGCCATGCACTGTACCTATCTCAAAAAGTGATGTAGAACAAGACACTGATGTAGAAGACAAGAGAAAGACAGTTTCTCCAAGTCTCATACTGAATAGACAATTCAATGCAATTTCCCTGCTTTCACAAGGGAACACTAAACAATGCATCTTTAGAAATGGGAATATTAGGCCAGGCACAGTGGCTCATGCCTGTAATCCCAACATTTTGGGAGGCCAAGGTGGGTGGATCACCTGAGGTCGGGAGTTTGAGATGAGACTCACCAACATGGAGAAACCTCGTCTCTAATAAAAATACAAAATTAGCCAGGCATGGTGGCGGGCGCCTGTAATCCCAGCTACTCGGGAGGCTGGGGCAGGAGAATCACTTGAACCCGGGAGTAGGAGGTTGCGGTGAGCCCAGATCGTGCCATTGCACTCCAGCCTGAGCAACAAGAGTGAAATTCTGTCTCAAAAAAAAAAAGAAAGAAAGAAATGGGAATATTAGACTTTGCCTACCAGGAACTGTAAGACTCAGCAGAGAATTTTACAGGTATACTTCCCTCCTGCTGAGTGTCAGCAGTAAGAAGGAAAGAACACCCACCTAGAAGCAGCACAACCTGGGGACTTGTTCCAGCCCTGACATGCTTGCACAAGTCACTTCATCCCCCACCCCCATCTTGATTTTCACATCTATAAAATTACAGCATTGGACCAAGTTAAGATATCTGTGTTGTTTTTCCCTCAACGGTGGGCCAAATGGTCTGAAACATCTAAGTGTGAAGCCTGAATGATCTCAAAAATTTTAATGAGTTGAGAGAATCCACACTTGGCACACGAATACTAATTAGAGTGACAAAGCTTGAGTCAAAGGCACAAAAAGTGCTTACTCACACTGATCTCCTTTGTAAATTATTATGCAAATGTTCCGGTTCCATAATATAACATTAGGAGAATTAAACTGTAACAGCTGAAAATGAAATGCCTGTAATTAATTATGTTCACCTTCAACTGTAATGACAGACCTGGGCCTGCTAATAGCAAGGTGTCACATAATAGTGATCCTTAAGAGGGGGCTTTGTCCTTACTGACCTACCAGATTGTGTGGGTATCCTAATTCCTAATTTAAATGGAAAAAGTATGCTACCAACCTTTCCCAGGCTTAACTCCAGCATCAAGCAGTCTGCATTTGTTCCAATGGGCCATACGTTGGGACCCCAAGGGAACACGAGGTTATTTCCTCTCTAATATTCTATGAGTCTAAACCAGTGATTCTCAAACTTTGATGTACCTATGAATTACCTGAGAAACATATTAAAAATGCAAATTCCTAAGCCTCACTCCAGAGGCTGTGGTTCAGTAGATTGGGAGTGCATCCCAGAAATGAATATTTTTAACAAGCACAGGAAGTGGTTCTGATGCAGGTAATCCAAAATCCATACTTGGAAACACACTGGCAACTCAAAAGTGGCTGGGTCCTAGAAGCAGAAAAAGGCCAGGGTTTTCCTTATTTGGTTAAAAACAGCACAGTCAAGAATTAAATTCCAAGCCAGCATAGTGCATATGTAAGTCCTTGCTAATGAGGAAGACTGAGGTGGCTCAGGCATAAATGGAACAATGCATATTTCCAGATCAACACAAAGAGGTGAATGGCCCACCACCCACATTTGCTGGAATGCCGCTGTGTAAAACAGCAGCATCATTCATCCAACAGGTGAGAAACAGCAGGGGCAAATGAATCATTCATCCAACAGGTGAAAAACAGCAAAGGCAGAGGCTCTGCAGAATCATGCAAACCTGACCAGGATTTATGCAGCATCCAACAGTTAATTTAAATTTAAAAAAAAAAAAAAAAAAGCTTGTCTCCTTTCTGCTTTTACTTGTCTAAAGCTTCTGGAATTTCCTGAGGACTTATTTTCCTAGAAGAAAATCTCACCCGCTCAAATCATACCACCTATTAGTAAGCCTGGCACAATGATTTTCAAGCGGAAAGATTCAAAGTTCTTTACTGAGAATCCTAAATCCTCTTCCAGAGGAGTATGTTGAAGGGTAGCTGAATATGCCATCCCAAAATATGCCACTTTGGCATAAGGATTATTTGGAGTTGAAGGCAACTGGGAAGATGCAGATATAAAAGAAGCTCTCTGCCATCCTCCTATCTGCAAAGGAGTCTAGGAAGGACAAAGGCTGATCACCAGCCTGGAGAGGGCACCAGAGGAATGAATCTACACAACAAACTTTCTAACTTAGCTTTATCTACCAGGAGTTTCCCATGTATTTTATTTGTCTTCCCACAGTTTGCCACGCCTAGAGACTCAAGGTCCTTTCCCTTTCTGCAGTCATTTATCTAAATATTTACTGTTCTTTGTTGAAAATGCTGTAAAGCCAGAGTACTAAGCCACCTCTTTGAGATCTATTCACTTCTCTGGTATCTCCCATATACATATAACACATATGTGTTAACTTCTTGCTTTTCTCTTGTTGGTTTTTTTGGGGGGTGAAGGGAATCTGCTTTTTATTTGTTTTTTTTGTTTGTTTGTTTGGAGACAAGGTCTCACCCTGTTGCTCAGGCTGGAGTGTAGCGACATGATCATAGCTCTCTGTATCCTTAAACTCCTGGGCTCAAGCAATCCTCTCACCTCAGTCCCCCAAGCAGCTAGGACTACAGGCACAGGCCATCACACTTGGCTAAGACTCTTGCTCTGTTGCCCAAGCTGTAGTGCCATGCTGTGATCATAACTCACCATAACCTCAAACTCCTGGCCTCAACTGATCCTCCTGCCTTGGACTTCCAAAGTGCTGGGATTACATGTTTGAGCCACCTTGCCCAGCTTATTCTTCTCCTCTTAATCTACCTTTTGTTACAAGGGTCCCAGCCCAGAATTCAGAAAGGTAAAGAGAACATTTTTTTTCTTCCCCTACAATGTGTAAATCATCTTTCTCTCCAGAGTTCTACCATCAGAGTAGCCTCATCAATCCCTTTCCTACCCATCTTGAGGATATGAACCTTCCCGATTCTTAGACACAATTTCCATTTCCAGAAGCTTATCCACTCCATAAGCTTCTAGCTGTGATAACTTTTAATGAGACAGGTAATTGTTTGCGATAAACAGTCACCTCCTCTGGGTTAGTTAGGGGACTGGAACTCCCAGCAAGACTCTTATCATCCCTGCTCTCCAATTTTCCCCCTTGAGGCACCAGCTATTTAAAAAGGAATCCAGGAAGGACAAAGGCTGATCACCAGAGATTACGTTAGAACCTTATCAGCCTGGAGAGGGCATCAGAGAATCTACACAACAAACTTTCTAACTAAGCTTTATCTACCATGAGTTTCCCATGTAAGATAAGCCAGTGCTCCTGACATTGCAAGGTTTAGATCTCTGTGACTCCAAGATGGAGACAATTCAGAGAGCAATTCTACCTCCTCCTCCATAATCCCTGCTTTACAACTAGGAAAACTAAAATAGGCCCATGCTATTTCCTTCATTTAATAAATTAAAGTATTGGCCGGCCACAGTGGTTTACGCCTGTAATCCCAACACTTTGGGAGGCTGAGGTGGGTGGATCACCTGAGGTTGGAAATTCGAGACCAGCCTGACTAACATGGAGAAACTTCATCTCTACTAAAAATATAAAAATAGCCAGGCATGGTGGCGCACACCTGTAATCCCAGCTACTTGGGGGAATGAGGCAGGAGAATCACTTGAACCCAGGAGGTGGAGGTTGCAGTGAGCTGAGATTGTGCCATTGCACTCCAGCCTGGGCAATAACAGCAAAATTCCATCTCAAAAATAAAATAAAATAAAATAAAATAAAATAAAATAAAATAAAATAAAATAAAATAAAATAAAACAAAACAAAACATTAAAGTGTTATGGGACCTTGACTCTAACTGTCCCAAATATGAGAACGCTAGGGTCCCAAGGAGGTGAAATTGCAAGTTTGTGAATACCTTCACTGGGACGCAAACTCCTTGGAGGTAAGGACTTTGTTTGGTTCCCTACTATATCCCTAGTACCTAGAGCAATGCTTGGCACATGGCAGGTGCTTAGTAAATATTTGTAGAATGAATGTATGCACAAAAGAAAACACAGAGAAAAGCTAGTCTCAGCATCTCCATAGCCTCTCTAAGCGCCAGATCTAAGGCACATCCCCTCAATTCTCCATCTACCCAAGGCCTATTGCAGAGGTGTTTTAGAGCCTATGTCCATATATCTGCCCAACTCCACTTCAGTGAGGTCACACTGGGAGTTTGAATGATGATATTTTCATCATGGCCAATTTCAAAATGATGAAAATTTTGATCATCATTTTCAATATGATGATATGAAAATATCACCACGCCTGGCTTTTTTTAGAGCCTACGAAAATCACAAACCACTACAAATTTGGGTTTTCTTAGAGAGAGCCTGATGTTAAACATTTACCAGCACACCACTGCCCTTAAGACTTACAATGTCTCTTTTCTGTGAACATAAAGGCAGGAAAAAATTAAGCTCAGCAAGTGCCAACTTATTTTGTAAAAATACCTATTCACACTAATTTTCTAATTCGGGTTTTTTGCAGGTCACTATAGAAGAGATTGCACTGAAAACTGAAGGGACTCCTTTGTGAGGACATTTCCCATTTGCCAAAAGTTACAGTTTATGAAACTTAACAGACCAAGGACAAAGATCTCAAAACAGAGGTGAATGGAAGGCTGAGGAGATACGCCTTAGGCGCAGACCACTGGGAAAGTATGGAGATTCTGAGAGTGGCCCTTTGAAATTGAGTAGTATAGAATCATATACTTTGATTTTGACTGTAAATTATACTTTTTATTTTATTTTTAAACAGGTTTGTGGCATTTATTATGTGCCAAGCTCTATTTGCTTAGCAAATATTCATTCATTCTAGCTACAAATACCACACACACACAAGTGTTCAATATCACCCAGACAAAGGAACCCTTACTGACTCCTATCCTTTTGCCCATGACAAAACAGAAACATAAATCTTCTCACCATCAGAGCCCAGTTAATGGCTCTGGGCCTGGTAATGGTAAGAAACCTGAGCTGGAGCTGAGGTCCACCAGACCATGGATGAGTTGGGCTTGGGCTTGACTAGGCTTCCATAAGGCCATATACTAAATTTGGCACCCTGGTATATATCCCTTCAAATTTATAATTGTAGAGTTTAATGGAGTAAGACAGAACCCAAGGGGGAGGTAGCAGTGTTGCCTTGGGCCTCTTTTTGAAGAGGTAGAGAAGAATAGATGAGCAAAACCTCTTAAATCTTTTTAGCTATGTAACAATGATGATAATAAAGATAAAACAAACTACACAGCTGGTTTCATTTATGCTTTTAGATATTATACCACTGATAAGAAATTATCTTTCAGACACTGAGCTCAGTATTGACAATAAATAACAAAAACTTCTATTTGCTTAGCAAATAGACTAGAGCCTGGCACATAATAAATGCCACAAACCTGTTTAAAAATAAAACAAAAAGTATAATTTACAGTCAAAATCAAAGTATATGATTCTATACTACTCAATTCCAAAGGGCCACTCTCAAGAGATGCTCTTGACAGGAGCAACTGCTCATGATATTTTCGGGGTTTTTTTGTTGTTAAAGATGAGTTCTTGCTGTGTCGCCCAGGCTGGAGTGCAGTGGTGCGTAGCTCACTGCAGCTTCCAATCCTAAGCTCAAGCGATCCTCTCATTTCAGCCTTCCAAGTAGCTGAGACTACAGGTACACACCATACCTGACTTTTTTCAGGGACATGGTCTCACTATGTTTCCCAGTCTAAGTCTGAAACTCCTGGCCTCAAGTGATCCTGCTTCAGCCTCCCAAAGCACTCAGATTACAAGCATGTGCCACCATGCCTGGCATGTTCATGCTATCTTAGAGCCAAAACAGACGGGCACCAGAATGAAACTAAAATACAGTACTGAGTGGTGGCATATACCTGTACTACCAGCTACTTGGGAGGCTGAGGTTGGAGGACCACTTAAGCCCAGGAGTTGGAGACTGTAGTGAGTTATGATTGCACCACTGCACTCCAGCCTGGATGACAGAGAGAGACCTTGTCTCTAAAAAAATAAAATTAAAATTAAAAAATGATACTAGTGCTCCAGGTAGAAATGTTAAAACAAAGAGAAAACAATATTCTACTTGATTAATTGAAGCTATCAAGCAGACCAACTTGAATTTTCTTCTGAAGCAACTTGAATTTTGGGACTCAAGCATGTAAAGCCATTATTTACTTTTCTTTCCAATCTATAATCTATATCCTTCTACTTTATCTGAAAATCAATTAAAATAATTATTGAGCACATATGTGTTAGCACTGTGCCAGGTGCTATAGGGAAAAAGAAAGTATGAAGCACCCCATCCTTAGGAATAAGACTTACTTAGATGAAGAAAGGAGGCCTTCCCTGCAGGGGTGACAGCACAAAGAGAGAAAAAAAGTAAGATTCAAGCTGAGAAAGAGCTATTTCTTACTATCAGAAATCATCTTGTCTATCAAAGGTAGAGCCAAGCAGACAAACTTAAACCAAATACAGTAGGCATGGGAAGCCTACTGTAATTACATTACATTAAGTAATATGACCAAATAAACTGAAGTTAGAGATGACAGTAGTGGATGTGGAGGAAGCAGAGATTATGAGTTTCTATTTGAACTTAGTGTTTGCCACTGTAAAGAGTTGAACTGTGTCCTCACAAAAAGATATGTTCATGTAATAACCCCTCCTCTACCTCACCCTCTCCCCTGGCCAGCTGCGAATACGACCTTTTTTAGAAACAATCTTTGCAGATGTAGTAATCAAGATGAGGTCGCATTGCATTAGGGTGAGCCCTTCCTTATAAGAAGAGAGAACACACAGAGACAGATGAGACATATGGAAGAAGCCCATGTGACCACAGAGGCAGGGACTGGAGTGATGCAGCTACAAGCCAAGGAAGGCCAAGGATGCAGGCAGCCGCCAAAAGCTAGGACTGAGGCATGAACAGACTCCCTCAGAGCCTTCAGAAGGAACCAGCCCTGCCGGCAGCTTGATTTCAGACTTCTGGTCTCTGGAACTGTGAGAAAATACATTTCTGCTGTTTTAAGCCATTTGGTTTGTAGGAGTTTGTTACAGCAGTCTTAGGAAACTAATGCGGCCAAGCTCTATGCTGTAGAATAGGTAGAAATGAGAAAAATAAGATATAAAGTTTCATTATTTCTTGATTTAGTTATTAAAATTACCATACCATTTTATGCCTTCTTTTAAGGTGGCTCACCACCCTCAAATCATTTTAATTAACACTGACAATTTGGCATATCGAGAATATTGATCTCTAACTCTCTTTTTTTTTTAAATTTATTTATTTTTTATTGATAATTCTTGGGTGTTTCTCACACAGGGGGATTTGGCAGGGTCATAGGACAATAGTGGAGGGAAGGTCAGCAGATAAACAAGTGAACAAAGGTCTCTGGTTTTCCTAGGCAGAGGGCCCTGCAGCCTTCCGCAGTGTTTGTGTCCCTGGGTACTTGAGATTAGGGAGTGGTGATGACTCTTAACGAGCATGCTGCCTTCAAGCATCTGTTTAACAAAGCACATCTTGCACCGCCCTTAATCCATTTAACCCTGAGTGGACACAGCACATGTTTCAGAGAGCACAGGGTTGGGGGTAAGGTCACAGATCAACAGGATCCCAAGGCAGAAGAAGTTTTCTTAGTACAGAACAAAATGAAAAGTCTCCCATGTCTACTTCTTTCTACACAGACACGGCAACCATCCGATTTCTCAATCTTTTCCCCAACTTTCCCGCCTTTCTATTCCACAAAGCCGCCATTGTCATCCTGGCCTGTTCTCAATGAGCTGTTGGGCACACCTCCCAGACGGGGTGGTGGCCGGGCAGAGGGGCTCCTCACTTCCCAGTAGGGGCGGCCGGGCAGAGGCGCCCATCACCTCCCGGGCGGGGCGGCTGGCCGGGCGGGGGGCTGACCCCCCCACCTCCCTCCCGGGCGGGGCGGCTGGCCAGGCGGGGGCTGACCCCCCCACCTCCCTCCCGGATGGGGCGGCTGGCCTGGCAGAGGGGCTCCTCACTTCCCAGTAGGGGCGGCCGGGCAGAGGCGCCCCTCACCTCCCGGACGGGGCGGCTGGCCGGGTTGGGGGCTGACCCCCCCCAACCTCCCTCCCGGACGGGGCGGCTGGCCGGGCGGGGGGCTGACCCCCCCACCTCCCTCCCGGATGGGGCGGCTGGCCTGGCAGAGGGGCTCCTCACTTCCCAGTAGGGGCGGCCAGGCAGAGGCGCCCCTCACCTCCCGGACGGGGCGGCTGGCCAGGCGGGGGGCTGACCCCCCCACCTCCCTCCCGGACGGGGCGGCTGGCCAGGCGGGGGCTGACCCCCCCACCTCCCTCCCGGATGGGGCGGCTGGCCTGGCAGAGGGGCTCCTCACTTCCCAGTAGGGGTGGCCGGGCAGAGGCGCCCCTCACCTCCCGGACGGGGCGGCTGGCCGGGTTGGGGGCTGACCCCCCCACCTCCCTCCCGGACGGGGCGGCTGGCCGGGCGGGGGGCTGACCCCCCCACCTCCCTCCCGGACGGGGCGGCTAGCCTGGCAGGGGGCTGACCCCCCCACCTCCCTCCCGGACGGGGTGGCTGCCGGGCGGAGACACTCCTCACTTCCCAGACGGGGCGGCTGCCGGGCGGAGGGGCTCCTCACTTCTCAGACGGGGCGGTTGCCGGGCAGAGGGTCTCCTCACTTCTCAGAGGGGGCGGCAGGCAGAGATGCTCCTCACCTCCCAGACAGGGTCGCGGCCGGGCAGAGGTGCTCCTCACATCCCAGACGGGGCGGCAGGGCAGAGGCGCTCCCCACATCTCAGACGATGGGCGGCCGGGCAGAGACGCTCCTCACTTCCTAGATGTGATGGCGGCCGGGAAGAGGTGCTCCTCACTTCCTAGGTGGGATGGCGGCCGGGCGGAGACGCTCCTCACTTTCCAGACTGGGCAGCCAGGCAGAGGGGCTCCTCACATCCCAGATGATGGGCGGCCAGGCAGAGACGCTCCTCACTTCCCAGACGGGGTGGTGGCCGGGCAGAGGCTGCAATCTTTCTGCAATCTCGGCACTTTGGGAGGCCAAGGCAGGCGGCTGGGAGGTGGAGGTTGTAGCGAGCCGAGATCACGCCACTGCACTCCAGCCTGGGCACCATTGAGCACTGAGTGAACGAGACTCCGTCTGCAATCCCCGCACCTCGGGAGGCCGAGGCTGGCGGATCACTTGCAGTTAGGGGTTGGAGACCGGCCTGGCCAACATAGCGAAACCCGGTCTCCACCAAAACCAGTCAGGCGTGGCGGCGCCAGCCTGCAATCGCAGGTACTCGGCAGGCTGAGTCAGGAGAATCAGGCAGGGAGGTTGCAGTGAGCCGAGATGGCAGCAGTACAGTCCAGCTTCGGCTCAGCATGAGAGGGAGACCGTGGAAAGAGAGGGAGAGGGAGACCGTGGGGAGAGGGAGAGGGAGACCATGGGGAGAGGGAGAGGGAGACCGTGGGGAGAGGAAGAGGGGGAGGGGGAGGGGGAGGGCGATCTCTAACTCACTTGCTTCTCCCACCAGCCAATACACATGCAACTGAAACACACATTGAATTCAAGCATTTGTGCAACATAAGATTTGACACTATATTAAAACCAGTATAAATACAATGAACAGTTGGGCCAAGCTTTCAAAGAACTGCCATAATTTCCTGGTTTTTAAAAATTAATTCAAAAGAAATACTTTTAATAAATACCACACTGTCTTTCCCCTCTACTTTTCACCTTAATAAACATATTTACTTTAAAAGGCAGTTTTCAAAAAGAGAACATTAGGCTAGATACTCACACATAATTCTATATCACAACAAATACAACTCTGTAAAAGCTTATTTTCCCTTTTTTTAATGGATGATGAGGGTGGTAGAGCATTTAATGATATGGTATGGACACTTAATATATTAAAGCAGACACTAAAAACATTAATAATATTTGCCAGTCGCTGAGCTAGGTACTTTATGTTAGGCCATATCCTCCCAATGTTATGATGCAAATATATTTAAAAACTGAAGCTCAGTTAAATTACTTACCCTTTACTCTTCCACAATTATTGGTAAAACTATAAACTATCAAAGCCTTTCTGAAAAACTTTCCAGTATTAAAAGCTTCGATAGGAAATATTTAAAATATTCAAGCAAAACTCTCTTCCTAGAAAACTACTCCATTGAAAAAGATACTTAAATTTTTGTAATTAAAGGAGATTCATCACAACAATATTTTCAGAATTTTTTATATTATTATTTTTTTTTAGAGACAAGATCTCGCTTTGTTGTCCAGGCTGGAGTGCAGTGGCATGATCGTAGCTCACTGTAGCCTGGAACCTCTGGGTTCAAGCAATCCTCCCACCTCAGCCTCTTGAGTAGCTGGGACTACAGACATACATATGCCACCACACCCAGCTAGTATTTTCATTTTTTGTACAGACAGGGTCTCACAAAGTTTCCTAGACAGGTCTCACAAAGTTTCCTAGACTAGTCTCAAATTCCTGGCCTCAAGCCATCATCCTGCCTCAGCCTGTGCTGGGATTAAAGGTGAAAGCTAACCCAACTGGCCTTCATGACAATACTGTTTATAATGGTCCAACCAAGAAATATCTTCAATGTCAAAAAATATAAGAATGGTTACATGGTTACATAATTGAATCTCATATAAATATATAAATTGATACTTTCAAAGAATGTTATTCATGAGCATTTTATCTTATTATTACGTGAATATTCTTTTCTTCTTTGTAACTTTCAATGTTCTCTAAATTCTCTACTATTTTATAATTAGTAAAAAGTTATTTTTAAGATAATCAAAGCTGACTCAAGGACAAAACACTAGCAAAGGGCAGAACCAGGACTTAAACTCAGAGCTGGCTGATTCCAAATCCCTTTGATCCACTACCCCACACAGGTCTTAGGTAAAGTCCCAGGAACATCATCCTCAGAAGAGGAATAAGCCAGGCATGGTGGCACCTGCCTATAATCTCAGCTACTCCACAGGCTGAGGCCAGAGGATCCAAGTTTGAATCTAGCCTGGGCAACATGGGAAGATCCTGTCTCTATAAAGAGAGAGAGAGGAATAGATTTGTGTGACCAAGTACTTTCTCACAAAATAAACTATTATGACTATGGGATTTCACAATTTAAAACACTGCCTCTATCTCTGGTTGTGGTTTCTTCGTTTGCTGGTACAACCTATATAAAAGACAGAGTTCAGTCTGGAAAAATGCATTATGCTGAAATGCAACACAAACCAAGAGAGTCATTACCCAAAGACAGATTGCCCAGGAAATCAGTAATGAGAAAAGAGGCCAGAGCTCCCACTCCAAGCATGTCAGCTAGAAAATAACTCATCAACAGTTCCATGACCCTGAGGAAAAGGAAATTATATCTGTGCTGTATCCTTAATGAAGCTGGCAATTCTGATTCTCTTTTGCATGCCTTTCTCCATAAAAGTGACAGGAATCTAGGACACAACATGATACAGCAGACACAAAACCACACTATAAAAAACTGTTCCTGAAAGCAAGGGCATTCCTTTCATTTAATTTAAATATTTCACACAACTTAGTCTATACACATTTACAAAACACTTACTGTGTGCAAGAGATTAAGACTTATCTCTCAAACACACACATTAAGGCCACTTTGCAAATGAAGTTTTAAGTCTATGAATGCCTCACCCTCCACCTTTCACCATCCCTTCTGCTATCTGCAAGTGCCATTGCAACAATGCAGCTGATAGCAAATTGCACTCATTGCCTGAGAGATCATGAGAAACATCCAAATATTTTTTTTTTTTTTTTTTTTTTTTTGAGACGGAGTCTCGCTCTGTCGCCCAGGCCGGACTGCGGACTGCAGTGGCGCAATCTCGGCTCACTGCAAGCTCTGCTTCCCGGGTTCACGCCATTCTCCTGCCTCAGCCCCAAATATTATTTTTAAAAAATTATTTGGCCATAGCCTAGTTTCTTTTGGACTTAATTCAATTTATCTCAGGTCCTGAGCCTGAGATATAGCTTGACTAATCAGCTAATAATCCATCAAGGCCTCAGTGTCTGCATCTTTTCTGGCAGCTCTCCATCTCTATTCCCTATTATTGTTGAGAAAACCCAATTAGCTTAGTGATGTGCATGAGGCCACTCTCTTAACCAGCAAGTGACCCTATCTGTCACTGCTCCCAAGGGTGACCAATGCAAGAAGTTGTCAAAATTCTAAGTTATCATCTGAAAACCTTACCATTCATCACTGTCTCTGGGGACCATATTAGTGAAAACATTCTCATCTGATAAAACTTATTATCTTTATTTTATTGCTTCATTTTCATGAAACCATAATGTCAGTGAATATTGTGTAGACCAACTAGAGTAACACACAATGATAAACTAATTTAAAATGTTCCTCTTCATGTACAGAGTGGTGATTAAGTCTTCCCCTTTTTTTTTCAAACAAGATTTACGGTGACTTTGCCAAGTTACTTGGTATCCTTAAAACCCTTCAGTAAGATTGACCACTACCATGTCAAGATAATACCGCCTTAAAATAATTCTGCAGTTACAGATGCACCCCAGAGAGGGAAAACACAGGTGTCCTTCCTTTCAATTATTCTTGAATTATACAAATAATACATATAAGCAAAGAAAGGAACTTAGGTTCCTAAGCAAAGACAGAGAGTGAAAGGAACAGCTGAAGAATGAGAGGAGATAGCCAGTGAACAAAGCAGAGAAGAGCTTTTATGGACAGAGGAAGAGCAAAAGCAAATGCAAGAAGACTGGAAAGAGAATAATGTACCCTGGGAGCCAAGCGTAATTTGGAACTCCTGGAGTGTAAAGAGACGAGCTAGGGAGGGAAACAGGAGCCATGTAGGGGATGTCACTACAAGAAGCCAGAGGGAATGAGGAGCCAGGGCAGGGTTTCAAAGAGTAAAGAGACATGATCAGAGTTGTTGATTGCAGAGTAATTGGGGAGGGCTAAAATGGAAGTATAAAATTTAAGGCTGCTCTTCCAAGAAGTATGACTATGAAAGGAAGAAGAAAGAAAGCACTGTGTGGGTGGGGGAGAAGGGGTCAAGGAGCAAGAGACCTTGAAGATGAAAGAATAAAGGACATACCTGTTGGACGATAAGGACACTGGTGAGTTTGTAAGTGTGGGAATAAGAACTTGAGAGCACTACCCACTAGAGACCTCCTTCCTGTTCTAGAGGAGCACTGAAAGCTACCTCCTACCTAAAACACCAAGTCTTCTAGTCCCTAGCTACTCAAAATATAGCCTGTGGACCAGCAGCATCAACATCAGCTAGACATTTGCAGGAAATGCAGAATCCTGGACTCCATCGTAGACCTCCTGGGCATGCTCTACCTTACCTCCATTGTGTAGTAGTAGCTTACCCTTGGTAATCAGGACCAATCATACCAGCCAGTCCAGCAACCCCCTGCTTTGCCTGTTGACTGAGAGGCATGAACCCAAAGGGGCTGGATGACAGTTTCAGCTTCCAGTTCAAGGGAATCACTATCCCTCCCTTTGGAACTAAGTCTCTAAGGATGGAAAACAACAATTTTCCTAGTGGATCACTAGGAGTGACAGTAAAGGGAGCCACTCCTGTTTCTACCCCTTGATTCCTGGACCTGTATTGTGTAACAAGATGCCTAGCAGATTCTTTTACACATTGATGTATGAGAAGTGCCAGATCAACTCTGAAGAACTTTAAGGAATTACAGATAATAAGAAAGGAACCAGAAGCCTGGAGACAAGGAAAAGGGGAACAAGAAAAATATAGCAAAATGCATATTGGTCAACCTAATGCTAGAATGAATGATCAAGAGGAAGGCAAGAAGTAGTCACTAGGAGCCAGCTTGGATACACTAGAATAAATCATGTAGATGTAGATTCTCCTTATTTTCTTACATCAATAAGCCTAAATGATGCAGTAGACATAGTATATCTGGCTTTTGGTAATGTATCTGACAAAATGTATTAAAGTCTTGACAAGGTGTTATCAAGATAAGGAAATATGGGCTGGGTGAGAGTTCTATTGAATGCATTCATAACTGGCTTAATGATCATCCCCAAATGGTTTTGACTAGTAAATTAAAATCATCCTAGATTCTAGCAGGTCTCCAATGGCAAGATTTCCAACCTTCTCTTCCTGACCGTTAAACTCTTTTTTAAAAATTATAATTTAGATGAAATACAAAAGATACAAAGGTAGTATCACTTAGAGCAATAATGTTATATAGTATAATCATGTTCCCCCACCAAAAAAATTAACAAGTTGATACAAAAAATTAAAACATGTTAGTTAAATTTAGATAAATTAAAATAAAATCTAGATAAATTTAAATGATAAAATCTAGGTAAATTTAAATGATGAAGATAAAGTGCTAATCTTGGCTCCTAAATTGAATAAAAACAAGGATGTTTAAAAAAAAAAAAAAGAAGAAGCCTAACAGCAGTAAGCCAAATAAAGGCTTGAGAATGGTAGTAGAGGTTAATTTCAATTAGTCAACATATGGAAGTTAACATGAAGGATAATATGTGAATTCAGTTAAACCTACATTCTTCATCCACAACAACATAAGACTCATGTTAAGATTACAAGTTGGCCATGGAGATTTCATGTAGCCTTTGCATTCATGCCTTGAAACAGTACACAAATTAAAGATGTCTGATATTAATAATAAGAATGCCTAATAAGCAGACCAAATGGAAGTACAGTTACTTTTAAAGCTGCCCACGTACTCCCGTTGTCCATATTCTAACAAGAGATTTGCATGCTAAATCAGTAACAATTATCCCAAAGCCAAACAGCCCTCAATTGGTCCTTCTGATCACCCACTTGCCCCCTCTGTTCTCTTTTGTGCCCAGCTGAAAACAACCTTTGACCCACCATTCCAGAAGAAGGCAGAACACAGCATGACTGAAATGGCTGAAGGGGAGAGGAGCCTGCAACATGAGGAGTGGCAGATGATGAGTTCCCTGACATGGTGCACATGGTCTGAAGTTTCCAATTCTATCTTAGTGAAAGTTTTGTGAATTTTTAAAAAACTGCCAAGAACAGAATTAGAACAGAAGTAGAAAAAAAGAAAGCTTCAGACAATTCTATCATGTTTCTGACAGCCAAGTATTCCAGCTGCTCCTCCACAGTGAGATATCAGGTTGTGAGGCAGAGAACAAGTGCCTGAAGAGAATGGGAAGCGGTCACCTAACCCCAACACTACCTTTATATTAATAACAAGATGTACCTGAAAGGCAAATAGAACTCCCCTCCTGCCTTTTTGAATAAATAATTTAGTTATTACTTATAGAATATGGAATGATATGAAAATGGTTGGCAGAAGGAGAACTAGGAAATTCAATGATCTTTATATTAATACCCAACACTACCTTTATATTAATAACAAGATGTACCCAAAAGGCAAATAGAACTCCCCTCCTGCCTTTTTGAATAAATAATTTAGTTATTACTTATAGGATATGGAATGATATGGAAATGGTTGGCAGAAGCAGAACTAGGAACTCCAATGATCTTAGGTATAAAATTTTTAGGAAAGTTTCTATAAGTCAGATTACGGAAGGGGCCCTGCCTATTCATATTAAAGTCTCTATATTTTTCCATTTTACCTTCAGCCCTTAAGCAACACTAGTTATTAAAAGATGGGTAGGACTGGTACCAATAACCCCAAAATTAAATTTCTACTTCTTCTCTGTCCCAACCATTCTCTTTGCAAGAATAAGCTGGCTTTGGGCAATGCTATTACTCCCCTAGGAACAACAACAAAAAAGTCTTCTAATGACCTTAGCACTTATCTTAAACAGCTTTTTCCCTTCCCAACTCTCCTGGCACTATAACCTGGGAGTATCCCTGATGCTCACCTGTCATCTCCACGGACACTAAGAAGTTGTTCAGGCATCCCTTAGATCAATGTTAAAGTGTGAAGCACCGGCATCAAGGTCACCTAGCATGTTCATTAAAAATATAGACTCCAGGCCTGGCACGGTGGCTCACACCTGTAATCCCAGCACTCTGGGAAGCCAAGGAAGGCAGATAATTTGAGGTCAGGAGTTCGAGACCAGCCTGGCCAATATGTTGAAAGCCTGTTTCTACCAAAAATACAAAAAAAAAAAAAAATTAGCCAGACGTGGTGGTGCATGTCTGTAATCCCAGCTACTTGGGAAGCTGAGGTGGAGGGATCGCTTGAACCCAGGAGGCAGAGGTTGCAGTGAGCCGAGATTGTGCCACTGCACTCCAGCCTGGGCAACAAAGTGAGACTCTGTCTCAAAGAAAACGAAAAAATAGACTCCAAGACCCCATGTCAAACCCACTAAAACAGAATTTCTGTTGGTGAAACTCAATAATTTGCATTTTGACAAGTGATTTTTATGCATACTAGGTTTAAGAATCTCTGCCTTGCAAGTACAATCACAAAAGAGGCAGGGTGATTTACCAGCACTCAACCCACCATTCAGCAGCAAGGCCAGGCTAGAATTTACCCTTCCCAAGCACCTGGTGTGATCCTTACCTGCTAGAGCCCATTGATTTGTTATTAACAAGAAAAATGATTTGACACTCTTCAGGGAAAAGTTCCATCCAATCTTAAGAATAATAGCATCCTGCAGAGAAACAGGCAGTTAGCCCTCTAGTCCCTAATCCTGCCTTTCACCTGGCAGACGCAGAAAGCTTCATCTTAAGGCTTCTGGTCATTTGTAGATTCATTGCTACTAAAGACTTGCAACCTTGGGAGCAGGCCACAGAAACAACAGGTCAAATACAAAAGGTGCTATTCTCATCAATCAATGAAAGGGTCTGAAAACTGAGATTTGATTATTTTGTCTCTGCTGGAGTCTCGCTTGAACTCTGTGTTCCTGGAAATTGAATTAACACTCAGGTTGACTTCAGAGAGTTATTCTTTCCTTCCCATTTAGCAGCCTCTGAAAGTGTTTCTTGCCCTAAGAAACTACACAGGAAGCCCCAACAAAAAGTAGTTGTAATTAAAGGTGCAAATGAGCACACAAGGGATGCCCAGGGAACCAGGGAGTAAATATCACATATTCTATACAAGGCAGAGATGTCCTCAAAAATTCTTGCTCAGAAAATACAAAGTCACTCCTAATACAAGGCACTCTCTCAATTAGAGATGGTCCCAACCTATGAGAGTTCCACTTTCAATTTTTCAACTTTACCATGGTGCAAAAGCAATATATTTTCAGTACAGTATTTAATAAACTACATGAGGTATTCAACACTTCATTATAAAATAGGCCTTGTGTTAGATGATTTTCTCCAACTGTTGGCTAATGTAAGTGTTCTGAGCTCATTTAAAGTAGTCTAGGCTAAGCTATGATATTTGGCAGTTTAGGTGTACCAAATGCATTTTCAGCTTATACTTTCAACTTACAATGGATTTACTGGGACACCTCATCATAAGTCAAGGAGCATCTGTACTTTATTCGAAACAAATAACAAATTATTTGGAACTTTGTTTGGAGAAGGCACGATGACCTGAAATTATCTCTGTCCATGCTACTTTGGGCTTCCTGTAGAGGTCATCTGATGCAGTACGTTTTAAAAAGAAGCAAATTATTCATCATTCCTGGGTGTGTGAGTTCACAACTGTAAGTTTTATAAGCTCTCTTTAAAAATCCATATATTATTATGTCATGGCATTTGTGAATGGCAACCAGACAAACAGGGAGAAGAAAGAAAAACAGTCCTAAAAAAATGAGAATGATTACTTGTGGCTTAGCATAATATTTTCAGTGGCTACATCATATGTGAGGTTTTTTTTTTTAAGTGTGGCATCTTACACAGGTTTAAGTAATGATGATGGGCCTCCAAAAAACTGTATGAGATGGCTCCAAACTGCTTCCAGCCAAAGCAGATGCTGATGTTGAAGAGGCATATGGAGACTTTGAACAAAACTGCATCATGAATTTTAAGTAGGGGGAAAAATGCTTCTAAATTAACATAGTGTCTGGTCATTGTGTTACAGGAAAGGGGTCCAATCCAGACCCCAAGAGAGGATTCTTGGGTCTCGTGCAAGGAAGAATTCAGGACGAATCCCATAGGGTGAAGTGAAAGCAAGTTTATTAGGAAAATAAAAGAATAAAAGGATGGCTACTCCATAGACAGAGCAGCCCCAAGGGCTGCTGGTTGCCCATTTTTATGGTTATTTCTTGATGATATGCTAAACAAGGGGTGGGTTATTCATGCCTTCCCTTTTTAGACCACATATGGTAACTTCCTGATGTTGCCATGGCATTTGTAAACTGTCATGGCACTGGTGGGAGTGTAGCAGTGAATACGGCCAGAGGTCACTCTCGTTGTCATCTTGGTTTTGGTGGGTTTTGGCTGGCTTTTTTACTGCAACCTGTTTTATCAGCAAGGTCTTTATGACCTGTATCTTGTGCTGACCTCCCATCTCATCCTATAAGTTAGAATTCCTTAACTGTCTGGGAATGCAGCCCGGCAGATTTCAGCCTTATTTTACCCAGCTTCTGTTCAAGATGGAGTTGCTCTGGTTCACATGCTTTTGATAATCAGAAGCAGAAAATTCTACCAAGGCATCAAGATATAATAGATATAAAGTAAGATATCAGATCAAGATGTAAATGTTTCACAGGTGTAGTCAAGAGGTATAAGACTCAAACCTTCACCAACCTGGAGGATATAATGGAATAGATAGAGAACTGTGGGTGCACTGTGAGTCCTACTTACCCAGGAAGGAAGGGTGGGGGTGCTCATCAAAGCCCTCAGGCCTGGTTAGGGGTTTTCAACAAGCCCATGCAGACATTTGATTTGTGTCCCCTGCAATTGGGGTTCACTGTGAATTTGTGATTGTTTTCTGTTTGAGAAACCTGAAGAGCAAGAGATGGGCTGATAAGCTGCTCAAAGAAGAGGCTACAGTGGGCAGCCTGCACTCCCCGAACTTATGGGGGCAAAGAATGCATGTGTCCTGTATAATGGGTATAGACCAGGGTGTGAGAGCAATGGCATGGGGTCACGTCAGGGCTTGTCCAAGACAGTCACCTGCACAGGTAAACAGGCTTCAACAGAGAGGAGCTAGAAGTAGAGCAGCATTTGCAGGGAGCAAGGACAGAATATGAGAGGGCATCATCACCATCAAGGAAACAGGCAACAGCCCAGAGTATGAAGCCACTCACAACACCATCAGCATCATGTAAGCCTATTCCTGCCCCTCCTACAACTCCCTCCTCCAGCCCCTACAACCACCAACCCCAGCCCAGCTGCAATCTTGGAGAGCCAAGCAAACTTGGCCAGAAGCTCAGAATGGAGGAGGAAGCAGACTAGACTCCTGTGTTCAACTTCAGGCTTCTCCCAGGCACCAGGCCTGCACTAGGGATTTTGTGGAGGAGAGAATTCTTTATTTTAAATCAAGGTTGGTGGTTTGCCTCTTTTATCAGCAGACAACAAATATTATGTACTAAATTGAGAGTGTTTTGTGACTTAAGAATAACCAGAAAAGTTACAGGGTTGTCATGCTTTCATTCAAAAAGGTCATATAGACTGGGTGCAGTGGCTCACGCCTGTAATCCCAGCACTTTGGGAGGCTAAGGCAGGAGGAGCACTTGAAACTTGGAGTTTGAGACTAGCTTAGGCAATATAGTGAGACCTCGTCTCTACAAAAAAAAAAAAAAAAAAACTTTAAAAATTAGCTGATGTGGCGGCACATAACAGTGGGAGGATTGCTTGATCACAAGAAGTTGCTGCAGTGAACCAAGATCATGCCACTGCACTCCAGCCTGGGTGACAGTAAGACCCTGTGTCAGAAAAAATAAAGTCATATAAATGGAATTGAAATAAAAAGGAACAAACTGTTGACAAACACAACAATTTGGATTAATCTCCCAAGAATTATACTGCATGAAAAACAACCAATCCCAAAAGGTTACATACCACAGTATTCCATTTCTATAACGATCTTGAATTAGCAAAATTATGGAAATGTAGAACATGTTAGTGGTTGCCAAGGGTGAAGGAGGGGATCGGGTGGGAGGGAAATGGGTGTGGCCATAACAATGCAACAGTTGGAATCCTTGTGGTGATGGAAATTTCGAGGGCAATGTCCTGGTTGTTGTATTGTACCCACCTTACACACAAACTACACACACACAAGCACTGTTTGTTGCAAGATGCTACCACTGGGGGAAACTGGGTAAAGGATACAGGCATCTCTCTGTATTTATTATTCCTTATAACTGTATGTGAATCTACAATTATCTCAAAGTAAAAAGTTCAGTTTTTAAAAAGATGCTGAAGGTTTTGTGTGTACAAATGGAAGCAACAGTGACGACCAGCCTTTATTAAACTGATACACATTCTATCAGCGGAAGACCCTTTGACTTATTTGTAAAACCTACGGCATTTAGTTGTGCAAAAAGCATGGTTTTCAACCTAATTTTTGCAGGCTTCCTTGGCTGCAGTCAAAATATTCTATTGTTTTCAGCCCTTTTTCCACAACCCCACTCCTACTACTGAGCCTTCCAGATAGATGGGTAGAAGGGGTGGTCCCCTAACAGTTGACAGAAACTCAAGGATGCCATTCTGATCCTACACACCTAATAGCCATGTGTGTCAGCACAGGCAGCCAAATGTCATGTATAGCTCCCTGATGACAACACTGCCTCTCGGCCACTCTTCCATAGGAAGGGTCATGTCCCCAGGCTGCTTTTGGCCATACTTTTGACCTGTCTAAGACCCAAAGACTCCAAAAGCTATAAGGACATCCCCCACACATTATGCTGCCTGGTTTAAAATGCTGCCTGTCTTATGTCATAGGCTCATTCTTATTTAAATCAGGTGAAACCTTCTGCCCCTGTGGATTTCCTATCAAGAGACCTGTTGTCCCTCCGGATATCTGGCTTTTGTAAGCACCACTTTAGTTCACTGGGCATGGCCATGTGTGTTTGAATCCTGGCTATGGATGAAATTCATGTTTATTTTCACAAGGCCCCTAAGTCTCATGCAAATCAAAATAGTGATTAATTAATCATCCTATGTAACTGTCCCCAAGCACTTCATTCAATTAATCACTATGTATTGAGCACAAACTATGCACCAGGCACTGTTCTAAATATTGGGGACACAGCAGTGCATGAAATAAAGTCCCAGTTCTCAAGGTGCTGCATTCTAATGGAGCAAGGGAGAACACCACACAAACAAGATAATTTCTGGAGTTATAACTGCTACAGAGGAAATAAACAGAGTGATGTGATAGAAGTGATTGGGGAAGACCCGTTAGAGGTGACATTTGAGCTGCAATTTAAAGGATGGATACAAGCCAGCCATAAGACGCATCTAGGAAAGAACATTCTAAGGCAGAGAGAACAGCAAAGTCAATGGTCTTTGCAAGTATTAAGCTTGATGAGTTAAAGAAACATAAAAATAGTTTAGAGGCTGTTCAGGATCTCTCTGCTTTGCTCCTCTCCACCTTTCACCTCTTGCTCGGTGCCTTCTGCCTTTGCATTGTCTATTTAACTTGACAATGCCCACGTGATCTAGCCCAGACTCTTATCTCCATTTGGATGCCTGGGCTTTGTGCTAACAAAGCTCCCGCTCTGCCCTCCAAGCCCTGAGCTTGGATCAGCTGAGGACACTCATTTCACCCCCAAAGGAGAGTTCTGTTTTGACAATCCTGAGAGCTGGCCACTAGCCATCTAAACCAGAAAACATGGAGCAGCTCATTTTCCCAACCATACACCTGCCATATGTCCAGTATTTCATCCACACCCCATAATTGACTGTAGCAAGAGCTGTGTTTCCAGAACTCACCCTTAGCCCTCCCTGCCTGCTGACTTCCCCAGAAGCTCTTATAAACATTCAGGAAAACTGAAGCCGGTTTATGACCTAGAGGCTATTGAGTTCATCATCTTCTGGGGGGCTACATCGAACAGTGCCAATATTTCCCTTTTCTAACACAGCTAGATTTTTTTTCTTGCCACTAGGTTTTTATGTTAATTAACTATCAGAAACTATTTATATATAAAAAGCTATTGATTAAAAATAGATGTTTAGGCCGGGCATGGTGGCGTATGCCTGTAATCCCAGCTACTCAGGAGGCTGAGGCAGAAGAACTGCTCAAACCCAGGAGGCGGAGGTTGCAGTGAGCCGAGATCATGCCACTGCACTCCAGCCTAGGTGAAAGAGTGAGACCCTGTCTCAAAAACAAAAACAAAACAAAATTTAAAAAAAATAGATGTTTAAATAAGAGACAAAAAGAATCAGAGGCTGTGTGCTGATTTGGGACAGTTGCCCCAGTATTTCCTGGTCCAGTAAAATCTCCCCTGGACCTCTGCCTCTGCACATCCATGAACCTTTGCCAGTCCCACAGCTTCCAGCCTTCTTTACATCCCTGGGCTCTTGGAGCCTAAGCATGACTTTCTCCTCCCACCTTCTTCCACTGGCAGGCTTTATGATCCTCCTCAGTGTCTATGAGCATCTCTTCAGTTGCCAGGCCATCCCTAGCTCCTGCTCAATTCTCCAGGCTCTGGATTGCAGCTGCTGTTCTTCTGGGCATCTGATTTCCATTGCATCAGGCCCTGCAGGGCTGTGAGAATGTGCTATTAAATGAGTCACTAACCCCCTGAACTTGTTCATGCAAATGTAGGATATGAATCGTACATCTGACTTATCTGCCAACAGTACAAAAATACTATATGTTATCAGTCAGGATATTTGTGTGACAGAAACCCAACTCAAACAAGTTTAAGCAATAAAGGAGATTTTCTTTTTTTTTTTTTCTTTTTTTTGTTCATGTAATTGGAAAACACAAGGGGTAGAATTAGGCTCAGGCCCTCCAGGGATACAAACAATATCATCAGGATTCATTCTCTCCCCCTACTCCCTGTGTCTATATCTCACCCTCACCTCTGCTTCTCTCTCTATCCTCATTCTCTCCTAAGCAGATACTCCTGGCTTCTATAATCCCTGCTTATCAGCCCCTGTGGAAAAAGATGGCGCCTTTAGCAACATCTCTATATCAAGGACGTTGATTGATTTGATTGATCAAGCTTGGATCCTATGACCATTCCTGGTCTAATCCTCATGGACAAAGAAATAGGATACTGGGATCAGTAAAGCCTGAATCATGTGCTCACCCTTGTATCCCAGGGTGGGAGTGGGGCTATACAGAGTACTGTGAGGGGAAGTCATATTTTAAAAAACCACACAAAGTATAAAGTGGCAGATACTGTAGTCTGGTTCACTCAATATTCCCTCTGTAATCTTTCAACCACCTGCTACCTTCTGCTACAAAGGCTGGAAAGTTTAAAACACCACTTTCCAGACAGGCTTGCAGTGAGGGTGCAGGCTTATGATACAGGTTCTGCCCAACAGATGTTCCCAAGGAAAGTGGACGTGATTAATGTGGGGTAGGGGCTGGATGCAGAGCCATCAGATTCTCTCTGTAAGGTCAGGGAGATGATGGATGCCTCTGGTTCTTCTGGACCAGCTGTGTCCTAGGGTTATGTGACTACTTCCTCACGTAATAGTTGGTACATGGCAACAGCTTCATGGTTTCTGCTCGAACAGTGAAATCACTGTACGTATTTCTTGACTGCGTCCCTGGCTCTGTGGCATCTAAGCTTGGTTCCCAGACCCTCTCATAAATTCTAAAAGCAACATAATACTTTGTAATAAATTTCTTTCTTCATACACTGGCTAGTTTGATACAGAAGTAAAACTAATGCTTTGTCCTGCTGCATTATGCAAGTGGGTGCACATTACACCCTACAGCCAGAAGAAAAACAAAACACTTGCAGCCAGAACCCCTTCCCTCTCCCAAAACAAAGACATACATTTAAAAAGACTAAGGCCGTTCTATGTAGTTCTGGTTCTCAAAATAAATGAAAACTTGAGCCTTTTCTTTAAGCTACTGCTTTCCAATACAAACAACTTTGTTGTTTCACAAAGTTATTTCTCTTTTAATGCTGATATCTGAAGGGATGATACAATCTTTGAGGTTATAACACTCATGAAATAACTAGCTTTTTTTCACAACCAACATAATAACTGTAAATTTGGTAATCTTGAGGTTTTCTTTTAATTACCTGTTGTATATTTCATTTGGCAAGCTAGTCCTTTTAAAGCCCGAACTCCCTTGCAATCCATTTTCACAAGGAAACATTTTTCTTTAAATGCTTTCATAGCTGTGTCTTCTTTTGACAGGAGGATCTGTTGTCTGCAACTAAGAACGCTGATGAATACAGGAAGGGAATATCACCAGTGGAAGTGCACGTGTTGTGGGAGAGCAATATTGCTAGGAGGAAGGGATGTGCTGAGAAAATAAGAACAGAAAATGCTCCCTACATTGTTTCACAAGGTTATTATGATGACTGAAAGAAATAATGTGGTATATGTTGTAAACTATAAATGTGTAAATGTAAGGCTAATGCAATACTCTTGGTTGGGAGTTACCACATTGGAGATAAGTCAAAGGTACCTAATTACACAGAAAGCATCGGTATCAATTGGTAAAAACTTCAGCCGGGCATGGTGGCTCATGCCTGTAATCCCAGCACTTTGGGAGGCCAAGGCTGGTGGATCACCTGAAGTCAGTAGTTTAAGACCAGCCTGACCAACATGGTAAAACCCCATCTCTACTAAAAATACAAAATTAGCTGGGCCTGGTGGGGCTGAGGCAGGAGAATCACTTGAACCTTGGAGGGGGAGGTTGCAGTGAGCTGAGATCACGCCACTCTACTCCAGCCTGGGCAACAAGAGCAAACCGCATCTCAAAAAGAAAAAAAAAAATACCAACTTCATGATCACAGGCAAGCAACAGGCAGAAACAACAGGACAAAGACAGGAAGAAGTTTATACTGTACACCAAATTCAGCACCGTGACTAGCTCTGGAATAGACAAGATAGAAAAGGTTGAGGAGAGGAATAGGGGAGATTCAACTGTACCTGCAACATTTTATTTTTATAAAACAGCCAGGCTCAGTGGCTCACACCTGTAATCCCAGCACTTTGGGAGGCCAAGGCAGACGGATCACCTAAGGTCAGTAGTTCGGGACCAGCCTGGCCAACATGGTGAAACCCCATCTCTACTAAAAATACAAAAATTAGCCAGGCGTGGTGGCATGCACCTGTAATACCAGCTACTCAGGAGACTGAGGCAGGAGAATCATTTGAATCCAGGAGGCAGAGGTTGCAGTTAGTCAAGGTTGTACCACTGCACTCCAGTCTGAGCAAGAGTGAGACTCTGTATCAAAAAAATAAAATAAATAAAATAAAATAAAATAAAATAATATATGAAAGAAACATGACAAAATGTTAACATTTGTTATTTCTGAGTGGTAGATTTATAATAATTTGTTAATTTTTTTCTGTATTTTTTAAACTCTGCAAAAGAAAAAAAGTGAGTAAACCAGAGAGTCTGGACAGGTTTCATGCTTTGCCCCTAACTCTGTAATTTTGTCCCTAAGGAGGAACTTTAATCAGAAAAAAATATAAAAAGCAAAAAATAAATAAACAATTCCAAAACTGATAATAAACCATTGTTACAAACTTATTTAGTGCCAGCATACCTAAACACTTGTGGCTTAATCTGAAAGTTTTTCAGTATCTCATTTATGGTGAAGCAAGTTTTCAGTACAGGCCAGAAACAACTGTTTCGTATATGATTCTTCCGAATGAAATGTGGCCACTGATCAAAATATCGCTCAAGTCAGTTTGAAGGCATTTCTCTGGAAATTGCTTGCAAATGCAAAAACAAAAGAAAACAATAGTAACAACAACAAATTTCCTCCTTGAGCAGGGGCATTCAAAAGTTTTCAGTAAGAGAAGCCATGAAGAAATGTCTCCATATGTGCTGCAGTGGGAGGATGCTTTCTATAAAAACTGATACAGTGATAACTGAGAGGGTTCAGGGCTACATGCTTAGCTTATTGAGTTTTGGTCATGCCTTACAGTATGTTAAGGGAGGTTTTATTTATACTTAGTTTCCTTTTGTCAATAATCCCTAGCTTCATGATACAATTTTAGTAGAATCAAACTTAAAAGATCCATCCAACCCATTTCTCTCTCTTACCTCTCAAATATATGAAATGTTCAAATCATCCTTTATGCTTAAGATATCTTCTTTTAAAAAAAAGTACCTTCAAAGATCACTATTTTAAAATACTTTAATACACTAACATCTGTTAACATCTGCATTTAACATGATTTATTTAGCCACCATGAAGGAATGGAATACAGATACTGCTAACTTTGGAAGAGAGGGGACAAGTCAGCAACTCAGAAGAAGGTCATTGGGCATCCAAAATGAACAAGAAAACGAGGTTTATGAGAAGACATGCAATAAAAACTGAAAATGAGAGTTGATTTTTTTAAGATAAAGTTTTCTTATTTTTTAGTTTTGCCTAGGGTAAATCCTTACTACAAAATTTTGCCTAGAGCCACTCCTACCTTCCAGGCTAGGCAAAAATGCCTCTGTTTTTGCGCTATATGACTAACAACAATCTTCCACCCAGCTAATGTGGAAACTCTCTGACAATAAAACTTTTCATGGCTAGGTGAAGTGGCTCACACCTGTAATCCCAGCACTTTGGGAGGCTGAGGTGGGTGGATCACTTGAGCCCAGGAATTCCAGACCAGCCTGAGGACCATGGTGAAACCCCATCTCTACCAAGAAAAAAAAAAAATTATCCAGGTGTGGTGGCATGCGCCTGTAGTCCCAGCTACTTGGAGGCCGAGGTAGAAGGATCACCTGAGCCTGAGAGGTTGAGGCTGCAACGAGCTGTGATCGCACCACTTCACTCCAGCCTGGGTGACAGAGTGAGACCCTGTCTCAAAAAAAAAAAAAAACGAAAAGAAAAGGAAAAAACAACCTTTCACAACAGTTCCCAGTCACTACAGAATCTAAATGGCTTATTTAGATTTAGATTAAGTGACATATGCAGAAATTGTTTGGCAAACTCTAGGGACAAGAGACTTTGAGACTTGGACATCCCACAGGAAAACATAGCTATGTTTCTTTGTTCCCATTTTGAGACAAATTTCCTCCTAGTCTACAAAATGTCACCAAATAAAACAAAAGTATATTCATTACAGAACCAGGGATATTTGGAGCTGTCTGGCAGTTCCTAAAAAGAAGAGTTACCATATGATATAGCAATTTCACTCCTAGGTATATACTCAAGAGAACTGAAAACACATGTCCACATAAAAACTTGTACGTAAATATTCAGAGCAGCATTATTCATAATTGCCAAAAAGTAGAAACAACCCAAATGTCTATCAAACGAATGGATAAACAAAATGTAATATATCCATACAATGAAATATGATTCAGCAATAAAAAATAAAGTGCTAATATATGCTAAAACATGGATGAATCCTGAAAATATTATGCTAAGTGAAAAAAGCCAGTCACAAAAGACCACATATTGTGTGACAGATCTATGGAACAGGTAAATTTATAGAAACAGAAAGTAGGGCCAGGCCTGGAGGCTAACACCTATAATCCCAGCACTTCGGGAAGCTGAGGTTGACGGATTGCTTGAGTCCAGGAGTTTGAGACCAGCCTGGGCAATGTGGCAAAACTCCATCTCTACAAAAAGTACAAAAATTAGATGGGCATGGTGGCACACACTTGTAGTCCCATCTATTCAGAGGGCTGAGGCTGCAGAATCACTTGAGCCCGGGAAGTGGAGGTTGCAGTGAACTGAGATCGCACCACTGTACTCCAGCCTGGGAGACAGAATAAGACCCTGTCTCAAAAAAAAAAAAGAAAAAAGAAAGAAAGAAGGAAAGAAACTAAATGAGTGGTGATTGCCTAGGGCTCAAGGTATTGAGGGGAAAAAGGCAGTGCTACTACCGAAGGATACATGGTTTCTTTAGGTTACATGGTTTCTTTATGGGATGATAAAAACCTTCTGGAATTCAGTAGTAGTAGTGGTTGCACTACTTTGTGAATATGCTAAAAAACCATCGAGTTGGCCGGGCGCGGTGGCTCACGCCTGTAATCCCAGCACTTTGGGAGGCCAAGGCAGGCAGATCACAAGGTCAGGAGATCAAGACCATCCTGGCTAACACGGTGAAACCCTGTCTCTACTAAAAATACAAAACATTAGCCGGGCATGGTGGTGGGTGCCTGTAGTCCCAGCTGCTCGGGAGGCTGAGGCAGGAGAATGGCGTGAACCTGGGAGGCGGACCTCGCAGTGAGCTGAGATAGCGCCACCGCACTCCAGCCTGGACAACAGAGTGAGACTCAGTCTCAAAAAACAAACAAACAAACAAACAAAAAACACCACTGAGTTGTACTCTTTAATTGGATGGATTCTATATTGTATGAATTTTATCTCAATAAAGCTTTTTTTAAATTTTCACCAGAGAATTTAATTTCCAGGAAGAATTCTATCATATAGACATCATATAGAAATAAAAGACAATGTGAGGCAATTTGATTCAATATATTAAGCTAGTAACTATTGATCCTACCACCTCCTGCCTCCTTAGGCATCAATTCAGGATATCTTATTCTTTTTTTTTTTTTTTTTTTTTTGAGAAGGAGTCTCACTCTGTCACCCAGGCTGGAGTACAGTGGCACGATCTCTGCTCACTGCAACCTCTGCCTCCTGGGTTCAAGCCATTCTCCTGCTTCAGCCTCCTGAATAGCTGAGATTATAGGCGCCTACCACCATGCCCGGCTAATTTTTGTATTTTTTACTAGAGACAGGGTTTCACCATGTTGGCCAGGCTGGTCTCGAACACCTCAAGTGATCTGCCCGCCTTGGCCTCCCAAAGTGCTGGGATTACAGGCATGAGCCACCACACCTGGCCCAGGATACCTTATTCTTAACGTAGTCTGCTAGGTTTTTAGGCATACAAAAGACAGAAACTCCATGTAGAAGTAAGGCTGTTGATATTATATTATTATTGGCTGTAAGTATTGTTAACTAAAAATGATCCTGAGTAATTACAAATTATAAGTGCAAACTAGTATTATAGTATTAACACATCTTCTATCAAACATTTAACTAAGGAACTCCAAGAATAATCCAGCTATTCTCTGGTTAATTTCAAATAATATCAAAAGCACAAGTATACTTCTCTATCAAACAAGTACCATGAACCTTGCTGGTACCCCATATGATTTTGCTCAAAGACTATAAGCAAGCATGAGCAAAACTAGTGTCTATCCAACAGATCTGCTGAACAGATTTAACAAGTCGATTTCCCACCTTTCCCTTCAAATGAATACTTCAATAACCACCTCATGGAATCAAGCCACAGGCAAGTTGGATCTTTACTTGGGGTCATCAATTTCACATGCTCACTACAGACCATTCATAAGTGTATTAGTCTGCTCCAGCTGCTATAACAAAATACCAAAAGCTGGGTGGCTTTAAAAATAGACATTTCTTTCAGTTCTAGAGGTTAGGAAGTCTGAGATCAGAGTGCTAACGTGGTTGGGTTCTGGGGAGGGCCTTCTTCCTGGTTTGCAAACAGCTGCCTTCTGCTATATCCTCACATGGTGCAAAGAAAGAGAGGGCAAGCTCTCTAGTTCCTTCTTATAATGTTACTAATTCCATCTTGAGAACTCTATCCTCATGACCTCATCTAAACCTAATTATTTCCCAAAGGTACTACCTCCTAATAACATGACATTGGGGATTAGGGCTTCAACATATGAATTTGAGGGGGAATATAAACATTCAGTCTATAAAGGAAAGGGAATATAGCTTAAGAATAAGAACCATACATTTTGCGGTCTAGCCAGACAAAGGAAAGCTGATTTCTCTATTTAAAAAATGTTAAAAATCAGCTGAGCGCAGTGGCTCACTCCTGTAATCCCAGAACTTTGGCAGGGTGAGGCGGATGGATCATCTGAGGTCAGGAGTTCAAGACCATCCTGGCCAACTTGGTGAAACCCCGTCTCTACTAAAAATACAAAAAAAAATTAGCTGGGCGTGGTGGCAGGCACCTGTAATCCCAGCTACTTGGGAGGCTGAGGCAGGGGGAATTGCTTGAACCCAGGAGGCAGAGGTTGCAGTGAGCCAAGATTGTGCCACTGCACGCCAGCCTGAGCGACAGAGTGAGACGCCATCTCAAAACAAAAAGAATTAAAAAATAAATTGCAATGTAGGATACATACTTGTGGGTTATTGCCCACCATGTTAATTTTCTTTAAATAAAAGCAAATTCATTTATAAAAATCTCTTATACCTCTGATGATGATTGCCACAGATGACAGGCAACCTGTGTAGGAGGAGCTCAGAGGTAATAGGCTAGATCATAGCCACCTACCTTTTTCAAGTCAAAGCACCAGAGAGGAGCCCAGTTCTCTTGGTACTTAGACTGTGAATCTAAGGAGAAGGGGAAAAAGAGAAATATTAACTCTGAGGAGTTCAATCCACCATTTCCAGTTCAATTGGAAATGGTGATTCCAGATCTTTTGGAGTCTTTGATTTCACACTCTTGACTACTAAAAGTGATTGGTGCCATTGAAGAGGAATCTAAATTATTTTACTCTATTTCAGTATCTACAACATACCTAAAGATATGCCAAGATGTTGTATAAAGAAGGCTGAGAAACACTGGTTTACGCAAACCCCCAAAATACATATTATTTGAATAATATTATGTACAAGCCTTGTGTTCATTTTCAACACAGCAAATAATGTTCCTTCTGGTTGGAATATTACAGTTATTCCAAGTTCTTAGGGATTTTTCCTAATACAAGACACTAAAACAGTTTTCAAAAAGAGGTACAAGACACCAGTAGTACAAATGAATTATTTTCACATAATAATGGTCCTCTGGAAATCCCAATAAAAAAGAAGTCTATTTAGAGAATATAAGAAGTATATTTAAATTTGTTTCAAGAGAAAAAAATAAAGAAAAACGAATTTGTCTATGTTTGGGGGCAGAAGAAATAAGAAAAGTAAGTTACTTAATCAGTTATTTTTTCCAGGTACTATTCCATCCTCCCACAATTTACTTTTCAATCATACAGATTCCTTTTCTTTTATTCCTAATCTATGATTTTTCTCTATTTGGAGGCTTTATGAAATGTGCTTCCCAAGTTTTCTTGCCTTGCTTCTGACTGCACATGGCTTTGAAACTTAAGCTCTGAGCCTCAACAGACATTATCAGAATTCTAATGTACACAGATGTGTTTGAATGGGACAAGTCCTTAGAAAACAATGAATCAAGAATACCAGTACGTAGGCAGGGCATCATGGCTCATGCCTGTGATCTCAGCACTTCGGGAGGCTGCGGTGGGTTGATCACCTGAGGTCAGGAGTTGGAGACCAGCCTGACCAACATGGTGAAACCCCATCTCTACTAAAAATGCAAAAACTTAGCCAGGCGTGGTGGCGGGCACCTGTAATCCCAGCTACTTGGGAGGCTGAGGCAGGAGAATCACTTGAAGCCGGGAGGCAGAGGTTGCAGTGAGCTGAGCTGAGATCCTGCCATTGCACTCCAGCCTGGGCAACAAGAGCGAAACTCCGTCTCAAAAAAAAAATAAAAATAAGTAACAGGTATACAGGGCAATGTTGTGATTGAACTTTTTTTTTTTTTTTTGGAGACTCCACTCTGTTGCCCAGGCTGGAGTGCAGCAGTGAAATCCCAGCTCACTGCAACCTAAGTCTCCCGGGTTCTAGCGATTCTCCTGCCTCAGCCTCCCGAGTGGCTGGGATTACACGTGCATGCCACCACATGCAGCTAATTTTTGTATTTTTAGTACAGTCGGGATTTCATCATGTTGGCCAGGCTGGTCTCAAACTCCTGATCTCAAGCGATCTGCCCACCTCGGCCTCCCAAAGTGTTGGGATTACAGGTGTGAGCCACCACGCCAAGCCCAGCTGAACTTTTAAGGAAACCAGACATACTGTCCATATTTATGGGTTTTTTTCTGCATATAAAAAGGAGCAAATTGAATTCTCTTTTAGGAGGGTCCATGTAACGTGGAAGGGGTAATAGAAGACTCCCAGCCGGGCATAGTGGCTCAGCCTGTAATCCCAGCACTTTGGGAGGCCAAGGCAGGTGCATCATGAGGTCAAGAGTTCGAGACCAGCTTGGCCAACATGGTGAAACCCCGTCTCTACTAAAAATACAAAAATTAGCCAGGCGTGGTGGTGGGTGCCTGTAATCCCAGCTACTCAGGGGGCTGAGGCAGGAGAATCACTTGAACCCAGGAGGCAGAGGTTGCAGTGAGCGGAGATCATGCCATTGCACTCCAGCCTGGGCAACAAGAGTGAAACTCTGTCTAAAAAAAAAAAAAAAAAAAAGACTCCTTAGCTCATCAGGCACCATAGATCAAGAGGAAATCAGTTTGTCCTTTGGAGACATCTACTAAAGAAGGTTTTGCATGTCACTCACAAGTGCTATGTGGAGAAAAGCTGAAATAAGGACAGATTTATCTAGAAATTCCTGAATCCAATGCAAGCTACAAAAATGGAAAGGACATGGATAACAGAAGTAACATTCATTAAATGTTTACGATTTGCTATGTCTTTTACATACATGTCCTGTCTTCTACTTCAATAGTACTCAAATTTTTAGACTCAAACCATGAGAAAATTTCTCAGAATTTCTCCTCCCAACACCACCTTTCTTCAGAGTTAAAGTTATCCGTGGGGGAGGGAAAAATATATATACATGTATGTATGAATGTATGTATATATATGTATATTGGGGGAAAACCTGCAGAAATAAAAATACAGTCACTTCTACTACCTCTCCAATAACCCACACTTTAAGTGTGACAATACTCAGAATTTAACTCCCAATAACCTACAATGCATCATGAATACCTAAAGTATTTTGAACATAGGCTTTTGCTTTGCTAATGTGCATTTAACATCCCAGTCATAAAAACACATCTTAAAACACACACACACACACACACCCCTAGATATAGCAATAGTAGTATCTACTCCTGAAAATATCCTCGTAACAAAAAAATCGAAGAGAAATACTATGATAGAGTAAAATGGAATGATGACAATTAGAGAAAGTATGAAGGGAAATTCCAAACATCTGAAATTCTTCTAAAAATAGTCTATTAAATGTCAGTTATCTTGGTTTCCATAGAAATTCACAAGTGTCTACAAAAAGTAACCTATTCCTACTTTGAAACTTTACGACTGTTCTTGCCAATAACACCACATCCTTATAAACGCCATATCGGGGACACAGGAAAGGAAGCCACATATATCCAAGTGGTATGCAGTATGTTCAACAGACCTTAATAGAAATGAATATTGCTTGTATCATTTAACGTTTGAAGAGGAGCGATAAAGACTATTATCATTTAAGAGTAGTGAGAAGTACAGGTAATTCTCACACTAGTAGGCTAATATTTTACTAGCCACTCATTTTAATTCGTTGATCTTTTCTTCCCTGAACAAGTATACCTAAATCTGGGATGTGTGTGTGTGTGTTTTATCCTACCTTTATTCTGTACCTTAAACAACACATAGATGGGGAAGTAGAGTGGGTTTGGTTTTGTTTTTTTTAAATAATCGACAGGCGACATACAGTTTAACTTCACAGGGTTGTTTACCAGCAGGTTGGTGTTCCGAAGAAGCACGCAGTAAAACACGCACAAAATAAGGGTCTATCAAAATAATTGTATATATTATTATTTCGAGATATATATGGAAAGATGGGATCGCAAAACATCTTTAACAGAATGGGTAACATTCCGTTCAATTATCAGTAACAAATTCCCACAGAATCTTTATTCCTCGCTATTTGTAAACAAGAGCTGAAGCCAGCCGGGCACCCAGGAGCATTCCGCCGGGGCCATCTGAGGAGGGGGACTCCCGCCTGGATCCCGCTCCATCCTCGGGCCACGAGAAAGCCCTATTTGAACTCTTCTGCTCCCGCGTGGGGGCTGGAGTCCACCGTCCCTGCTTAACTACACTGCAGCTACCCGGGATCCTTAAGCTTCCTTCAACTCTCTGCACTTTGCCAGGCACCCGAAACCCACGGCGGCTGGGCGGCCCTGCTCCCGGCTCTCCGAGCCTGTACCCTCGGGGAGGCCCGGTCCGGAGGCGCCCCGCGGGAGGCTTACCGAGCAGCGAGCCTATGAAGATGACGACCTGCACGGTGGTGGTGAACTGGCGGTACAGCTGCGCCTCGCCGAACTCCCCGAGCGCGCTGCGGTTCACACCCGCAGCCTCGGCGCCGGACGCGTTGTGCGGCTCGCTGGCATTTGGAGAGATCCAGCTCCCGTTATGTCCCATGGCGAGGCTGGGACTCCGGCTCCGCGCGCCGCCCGCCTCGGAGCCCCGCGCGGAGCCTCTCCTCCTCCGGGTGAGGAGGGACGCGCGGGCGCCTGGCGGAGTCCTGGAGAAGCCGGAGCAGCCGACGGGTCCCCTCACGTCTCCACATCGCCAACCCCGGCGCCCGGGAGGCGGGGAGGGAGGGAGGCGCGGCTGCGCCCCATGCCCACTCCCTCCTGGATCCCAGTCAGCAGCCACAAGAAGGCGGCACGGTCAGAGCCCGCCGAGCGTCGTCCGTCCCTCCTCCAGGGTGGTCAGCGTGGCCCAGCCCACTCGACAGGAATGGAAACACAGAAGGAGGCATTCGATGGTCAAGGAGGGCGCTCTCCGCTCCCGCTGCCTCCTTCAACCGCGGGTCCTCCGCCCCTCGAGGGCTAGGGCATCCCTCTCCAGTCCCCTCGGGCTGACGCACTCGACCCCTCTCCTTAGCGGGAGGAGAACGTTTGGCCGAAGCTATTTTTCAGTCCTGTTGGCTTCGAGGCTGGATGGCGATGTGAAGCCAACGTAATGCCCACGCCGAGTGGCCGGAGCCACGAGGGGACCCCCGAGTGCCCGACAGCGCCCATGGCTTGGGTGGAAAGCCCTGAGCGTCCCCAGCAGCCTGGCCCTGCGCCCGGCCGCCTGCCAAGACGCCCGTGCTGGGTCCTGCTTCCCAGCCCCTCACTTGTGGCTCCGACCTCCTGCCTCAGCACTGGCGACGGGGACCCCGTTCCGCAGCGCCTTTTTGCCTCTGCATGGCTGGGCGCCCCCTTTCTTAGCCCCCCTCGGTCCCTCGGCCGCTAGAACACAGCTTGACAGCCGGGCGGGGACGAAGGAGGACGCCCCCAGTGGGGCAGTGGCACCGTCTGCGCGGCCGCCAGACTCGGTGCGCGCCTGGGGCAGCCGGGGGCGCGCGGCTGGCGAGGATGGTCACGTGGCACGCGCGACCCCGCCCCTCGCGCCCAGGCTGCCGCGGGGAGGGCGCCATCTTGGCCCCGCGGAGCGTGACTGTCTCGGCTGGAAGCGTGGGAGGCCGGAGGATCAGTGACTGGCTGTCGTGGACATGCTCGCTACACCTCCCGGGGCTTCGCTTCGTTTACTATTAACTGTCGTTACTCCTCTGTATCTCGTCAGCAGGGGCTGCCTGCGGTGTTAGAATTACACGCCCCTGCCACCTGGGCACGGAGCCCAGTCTCCCGGCCCCTCAGTCAGTCCTTGGGTGTAGCTGGAGCATTTAAGAAAAATGAAATATAGGAACTCAGTGCATGGTTTCCTGGGCCTTTTTATTGAATATCATTTCTAACATGTACACAGTATAACCCAGGCTTAGTGGATTCCGGGACAGAAAATGTTGGGAGCTGGGATAGTCAAGTAAACAAGAAGAAATGGTAAAGAGATGCCAAGTGGGAGAGGAAACTACGGATGCAGAGAGAGGATCTGGGATAAAGAGAACAAAGATGCGTGGTCGACTTTATGGAAACTCGTTTCTTTTTAATAAGTGAGGTACATGGTAGAAGACTTTGACATGTTGATTATGTGACTGGGACCAAGGACAACAACTCGAGAATTGATTAAAACTACAGTTATTCCTTGGTTGCCCCAAGGATGATCCTGGTACAATATGGCTATTTCCTTTTCACTGGTAATCCTTATTTACTCTTGAAAGGGTAAAAATCCGTGTCTTGTACATATTTGGAGTTTCACAATACCTTCACATAGTAATCTATGTGAGAATTATTTTAAACATTTTGGAGACCAAAAAGGGGAAAGAGAAAGAGACGGAAAATTACTAATTACACTAATTGTATTTTACCCCCAAGAACGCCATTACCAGCGGTTAACATTAGTTCCAGGAGTCCAAACATAGTTTTCAAGATAAAACCCCTTACACTATAATCATTAGAAACCAAAAATTATAATAATTCACCAACATCCAGCATACTCATTTAGGAAGGGTTGAAGAATCTGTGTAAATAGAGTTGTTTGATAACAGTTATAAAAATATCCCTTTACCCATCTTCACCCTCCATCCCGAATTCAAAACTAGTAACAGTTGGGATAAAGGTATAGAAAAGAATCAGTTTTGCAAGTGTAGAGAATGGAGAAAGCAAGAAACCGCTCTCATGTTTTCATTCTGAAAAGATATCACTAAATTCTCTACAACCCCTCAATTGGTGTTAGGGTATATGGTCAGTAGAATCAAGAAATAACCCAATCAGCTGAGATCACCATGATTCTCAGACTTGAGGAAGGATTGCCTCTCAAAAATGAAGGGCTAAAGACAGGAATAGAGTGGCACAATTCTTAATAGTTGTGTGCTGTATGAGTTTTTTTTAAGGATGAGTCAAAAGATCTTAAGATTTGTGATGTAAAAGATTGGACACGATTTAAATATGTATTAAATGTCTGTAGTAGTGTTTTTTATAATTGTCTGGTCATCTACCAGTGCACAACAAACCATAACAAATTTCGTGGCTTAGAGCATAACTCCAGAAGTGTAGCTCAGCGTTGCTGCCTGGGTCTGGGATCTGAAGGCTTGTTCACTCTATGTCTGGCAGTTGATGTTGGCTGTTGACTGGGAACTCAGCTGGAACATCTATATGTGGCCTCTCCATGTGGCTGTTTGGCTTCCCCACAGCCTGGCAGCTATGCTCCAAAAGTGAGCATCCCAAGAGAGACAAGAGTCCCAAGAGGACAAGGCAGAAGCTGCACTGACGTTTTTTTTTCTCTCTTTCTTTTTAGGTTAGCCAAGTGAAGCAGTGGGAGTGGAGAAGGAACAAAGAAATCTGTAAAGTAGTTGTGATCAATTAGTTGTAAACACCACTGCACTCAGACTCAGACCAGCTTGCATTGATTTTTATGACCTAATCTCAGAGGTTGTACAGCGTCACTTCCACTGTACTCTACTTGTTGAAGCAGCTACAAAAACACCACATTTAAGTAAAGGGGACACTAATTGGGAGGAGTGTTAGTCACATTATAAGAAGAGCATGTGGAATGAGAGATTAAGTAGAGATATTATTGCAGTCATTTAAGGAAAATATAATCTCCCATAATATTAATATCTGTTTTCCTTTTGTAAAAAAAAAATGTACCATTTCAGGCTGAGCATGTTGGCTCATGCCTGTAATCATAACATTTTGGGAGGCTGAGGCCAGTGGATCACCTGAGGTCAGGAATTCGAGACCAGCCTGGCCAACATGGCGAAACCTCGTCTCTGTTAAAAATACAAAAATTAGCCGGGTGTGGTGGCAGTCACCTATAATCCCAGCTACTCGGAAGGCTGAGGCAGGAGAATCGCTTGAACCCAGGGGCGGAGGTTGCAGGGAGCTGGTACCACCACTGCACTCCAGCCTGGATGACAGAGTGAAACTCTGTCTCAAAAAAACAAAACAAAACAAAAACTAAAATGTACCATTTCAGATTTTTTTTCTGAAATTAAACCTGAAAAGGTCAAAAAACACATAAATTACAGTCCCTTTCAATTACTTACCAGGTACAGGTATTGTTTAAGTCTATAGAAGTTCAGACTATAGTAGTTCAAAATACCTTATACAGGGCAGCTTATAAAAAGCAGAAGTTTATTTCTCATAGTTCTGAAGACTGGGAAGTCCGGGTTCAAGGTTCTGGCAGATTCAGTGCCTGTCGAGGGACTGCTTTTTGGTTCACAGATAGTGTCTTCTAGCTGTCTCCTCATGTGGTAGAAGGGTGCCTTTTTTATTAGTACCCCTAGTTTTATTTATTTTATTTTATTTTTTAGAGACAGGGGTTTTACTATGTTGCCCAGGCTAGCCTCAAACTCCTGGGCTTGAGCGATCCTCCCACCTCAGCCTCCCAAGTAGTTGGGACTACAGGCACATGTTAAAACACCTGGTTCCTATTAGTGGTTATTTTATAAAGGCACTAATCTCATCTGTGGCACCAGAGCCCTCATGACCTAATTACCTCCCAAAGATCCCATCCCCTAATACCATCATATTGGTGATGAGGTTTCAATACATGAATTTGGGGGGCTGGGGACACAAACATTCAGACCACAGTAGTTGTTACATTGATATGAGCTGGTAAGTGTTAACACCTGGCAGCAATCAGATACCCAGCCATAGGTGAAGGCAGGTGATTAGAATTACCAGCCAACACATTTATGTGCTAGCTAATTTTTATTCAAAACTTTCTGAAGCTACATTCAAAGCAGTTAATGGGAAATGGAGTAAAAAAATAGGCAACCTCTCACTCTAGATAATGCTGTTAAAAGTAATTTTTCCTCCCAGTCCTCTCCTGTAATGAATAGTATAAGAAGGTATCCTCCCAACGTAGAGGCACCTTGTGTTTCCAAAGTTTTAATTAGTTGTCATGATAATTTTATGTGTCAACTTGACTGGGTTAAGGGATGCCCAAATAGGTAGTAAAACATTATTTCTGGGTGTATCTGTGAAGGTGTTTCTGGATAAAATTAACATTTGAATGGGTAGACTGAGTAGAGCAGACTGTCCTCCCCCATGTGGGTGGCCCTTATCCAAATGGTTGAAGGCTAAAATAGAACAAAAAAGCTGAGTAGAGGGGATTCCCTCTGCCTGACTACCTTCGAACTGGGGCGGTGGCTGTTTCCTGCCTTTGGACTTGAACTGAAACATCAGCTCTTCCTGAGTCTTGAGCCTCCTGGCTTTTGAACTGAAACAACAGTAATGGCTCTCCTGGTTCTCAGGCATTTGGACTTTGACTAGAACTACACCATCAGTTCTCCTGGGTCTCCAGCTTGCCAATCTCCAGTTTGCCAACTGCGGATCTTGGGACTTGTCAGCCTCCATAACTCCATGAACCAATTTTTTGTAATAAATCTCTTTCTATATGTCTATTTATTCTGTTGGTTCTGTTTCTCTGGAGAACCCTAATGCCATACATAATTTTTAAAAAAAAAAAAACTCTTTCCTTCTCTGTTTTTCTCTTATACTTTTGTGAGTGTAGTGATAGGCCAAATCACATAAGTGCTAATAAATACTTTTCCAACAAGTACTTAACCTTGTTTAGGTGATAATCACTTGTCTTACCTTTGTGTTCAGAAGAATTCCCAATTCCAACTTTCTTAGGTATTTATTGAAAAGCAGGAGGAGGGTTCGGTGGAGGGAAGAAGAGATGGAATAGGATTTAGGATCATTGCAAAGACCGAGGTAGTTGGGGAACATAAAGGTTTTATGTTGCCTTTCTTCTTCCTCCTTATCATTGAAGGTCTCCTCCTCCCTCCTGCTCCCCATCACACACCCTCACATGCCCCCATGTGGCCTCTTACTAAACAGGGAGAGAAGAGAAGAGCTGGAGAAATGGAAGTATTTTGTATTGGTAAGCCCAAGCAGCAGCATGCTGAGAAAAGAGGAGTTTTTATGGCCCCTGGCTACCCATCTGGAATAAACAGTTCTATTTCCAAATGGCTATTTCTATGCCAATGTAAAAAGACATAGATAATGCAGATTATTGTGTAGACATTACTAATATTCAACAATATCTCGTTTTCCTCTTCTTCCAGGCATACTGAAGACTATATTTCTCAGCTGCCTTTGCAGGTGGGCAGGGTCATGTGACTATTATGACTAATAAAATGTGAGCAAAAGTGACGAGTCACTTGTGGGCTGAGGCAGTGAAAAGTTGTTTGTGATTCTCAAATCTCTCTTCTGTTCTGCCATTGCAATTGTGGAAGGAGCTTTATGTTGAAACGGAAGAGCCAAAAGATTGAAGTAGTCTATGTCTCAGTCACCATATGGGAGGGCAAATGCCCTGGAGAACCACCCAGACACACAACAAGTTTGTATGAATAAGAAATAAAACTTTGTTGTATAAGTAATCATGATTTTTGGAGTTGCTTATTATCACAGCATAACCCAGCCTATCCTGGCAGACATTGTTATGAAAATTGGGGCCTGCATATTTAAGAGAGCACAGATTGTATTTCTGGGGAATGGAAGGTTTTAAGTCAGGACTTTAAAAATATTCTGTGTTTATTAGTAGTGGCAAAAAGGATATCCTAGGTCCTTGTAAAATGAAAGATGGTAGCTGATAATGGAGCCTCTGGGCATCTTTGAATTAAACTATTGGGCTTTTCAAGTCAAAAAAAGCATATTGGTCTCTGATAAACTTATGTTGTTGAAACAGCTTTTTGGAGAGTACTTAAGCTTGGGGTAGGCAATAACCCATTTCTCTTTTCTTGGAGACCTAGATTGTCTCTTTATACAGATTTCTACTAACGCTCTCAAGATAAAGAACCTAATATGGAGAGATAAGGGAGTATGAATGTTGATGTCAGTTGTACCTCTTGAATATTTTGTTGTTGTTGTTGTTGTTGTTATTGGTTTTAATGGTTAAAATATCTTTTCTCACGATGAGGAAGAAAATAGAGAAGACAAAACAATGTAGCAGCATTCACGGTAAGAGGCCAAGGATAACAACCAGAAAGAGAAAAGAGAGAAAGAGGAAGAGAGATGGAGAGAGAGAGAAGCTGATGTTGAAATTAAACAAAATTCTGAAAGGGGCATTTTTTAAAAATGAGAGAGAAGCGGGCTGAACAATAGAGAAGCCCTTTCCTGCTGAGGGGCCGGAGCCAGGGGCTCCTAGGTGTAGTGTGGGTGCACCAGGCCCTGACATGGCCACTGGGTAGAGGACAGCACCTGAAATGGGGGCAGGTGGCGGGGCCGGGGCCCTGGGCCTTGGGCTCCATGCTCCAGAGCCCCAGGCTGTGGCTGACATCCTTTGAGTCTGGCACCAGGGCCTAGTTGAGGGTCCCCAGCAGTTCTTGGAGCTACAGAGGCAGGGGATCTTGATGTCTTCGATGGGGTAACTTACAGTCACAGGTAGTCTCCTTGTTGGTGCTGATGAGCTGCTTCAAGTAGATGACTATCTTCTCGAAGATAGAACCATTTAAGATAGAACCATTCCAATCGTGTTCAAGTAACACTGGGCAGTTACTTGACCTCTCTAAACTCAGTTTTCTCCTCTACCAGAAATAAAGATGGCTATTTTGCAAGGCTGTTTTGAGGACAACAAAATATTGAATCAATAAAAACCTCTGACAGTGAGACATTATAGGCCATCAATAAAGGGCAACTATATAAGATCAATTCCTGTTTGTTGATGTTTAAAGAAATCAAATATCAAAAAGGGGAAAAGTCACCATCTAAGATTTTAAAAAATTCTTGCTATAGATTTAAATAAAATACAAGCTTTATATTTCAAAAATGAAAAAAAATCACTTTTTTGGAATTAACAAAGGACACAGTGGCTTTGGGGGAATTTTGACTTGAAGATTTAGAAGTCCAGAATTTAGCCTTTACATCATTGGCCTAAATATGTTTAGTTTTTATGGTTCTTAGTTTTGGGCATGTTAAATTACCATCCAAAGCAATTATCTGTTTAAAAGATAATAAGACAGCCCTTCATGTATTCCAAATTATCGCAATATGTGGATTGGGAAACGGTTTTCTACTTACATGAATCTATGAATATATCTCCTAATGCAGTTTCCCAGGAAAATGGCATTAGAAGGTATATCAGGAGTTTCTAGTAGTCCTTATACCTACAGACTTCCTGTTAAATTCATCAAGAATATCTGGGAAGGGGGAACTTGAATATTCCTTCCCTCCCTCTCCAGGAAGCCTCAATAGTCACATACACACAGACACACACACATAGTGATCATAAAGCAAACAGACTAATTTTTACCTTTATTTTATTTCATTTTATCTGAGACAGAGTCTTGCTCTGTTACTCAGGCTGGAGTGCAGTGGTGCAATCACAGCTCACTGCAGCCTCGACCTCCTGGGCTTAAGTGATCCTCCCACTTCAACCTCCCAAGTAGCTGGGACTACAGGTGCATGCCACCATGCCTGGCTAATTTTTATATTTTTTGTAGAGACAAGTTTTTGCCATGCTGCCCAGGCTGGTCTGGAACTCCTGGGCTCAAGCAACCCACTTACCTTGGCCTCCCAGAGTGCTGGGACTATAGGTGTGAGAAACTGTGCCTGGCCCAGACTAATTTTTTTAAGACAGAGTCTTGCTCTGTTGCCCAGGCTGGAGTACGGTGGTACAATCTCGACTCACTGCAAGTTCCACCTCCCAGGTTCACGCCATTCTCCCACCTCAGCCTCCCAAGTAGCTGGGACTACAGGGGCCCGCCACCATGCCTGGCTAAGTTTTTGTTTTTGTATTTTTAGTAGAGACAGGGTTTCTATTAGCCATGATGGTCTCGATCTCCTGACTTCGTGATCTGCCCACCTCAGACTCCCAAAGTGCTGGGATTACAGGCATGAGCCACCACACCCAGCCAGCCCAGACTAATTTTTAATAGCAAATATGTCAAACTAAAATATCCATGAGTATTATCACCTTCAAAGGAGTCACCTTGGGAAGGTATTTAGCTGCTGAAGATTATCATGATTTCTCAGCACCTTTTTAGGACTTCTCTTTTATAATTAATTTTGGAAGCTGACACATTTTTTCCTGTATCACTTATTATAATAAATATGTCCTTTAAGAATAAATTGGATTTATTTTAAAGAGCCAAATGTTATCTAAGACAAATTCTGGTGAATTAAGTGATTAAGGTAGTAATATTCTTTAGTAAAAGATGGAATATGGATATAAAATACTATGACTCATAGTCTGACTTTGAAGTAATGACACGGCTGTGGAATAAAGGTATATACTTATTCCAAAATTTAAAGGGCAAGACTCATTCGGGTACATAAATATGTAAATGCACACAAACACCCACAAAGTAATGCAAAAGTCACTAACAATTTTTATTTCAGACTTTCTTGAGCAGCAGGAACAGTGTTGCCGCTCTGCTCCTGGCTGCTAAGTCACAGTATGCTGCAAGAACAAGTGCCTTCACCTCCCGGAAGAGGAGACGGGTTGGCTGGAAAAGTATTCAAAGAAGTAATGGCTGGAAACTTCCTATATTTGGCAAAAATCATAAGCCTAGAGATTCAAGAAGTGAAGCAAATTCTAAACAGAATAAGCCAAATGAAATTTACAAGATATGTCATAGTCAAACTTCTGAAAACTCAGACATAGAAAACTATCTTGAGGGCTGGGTGCAGTGGCTTACGCCTGTAATCCCAGCACTTTGGGAGGCCAAGGTTGGGGATTGCCTGAGCTCTGGAGTTTGAGACCAGCCTGGGCAACACGGTGAAACCCTGTCTCTACTAAAATACAAAAAAAAAAAAAAATTAGCCAGGTGGGGCAGCGTGCACCTGTTGTCCCAGCTACTCAGGAGGCTGAGGCAGGAGAATTGCTTGAACCCAGGAGGCAGAGGTTGCAGTGAGCCAGGATAACACCACTGCACTCCAGCCTGCACCACTGCACTCCAGCCTGGGCAACAGAGCGAGACTCCGTCTCAAACAAAAACAAAAGCAAAAACAAAAACAAAAAACAACAACAAAAAAACTATCTTGAAAGTAGCCAAAGAGGAGTGCCACATTACCTTTAGTGGGAAAACAATGTGAATGATAACAGATTTCTCACTGAAACCATGTAGGTCAGAGAGAAATGGCACACTTTTCAAGTACTGAAAGAAAATAACAGTTGGCCCAGAATTCTATATTCAATGAAAATATCCTTCAAGAATGAAGGGGAAAGGGATTGCAGTTTTAAAATTTGGGAAACAGTGACCAAAATCTGAGAGCTTCTCTTTGGAACATCAAGGGCAAGCAGCAAGACCAGGAGATGTAGTTTGGGGGAGCAAGAAGGACATATAGGATTAGAGACTCTTCTTTGGAAGACTGATCTAAAGGTTTAGGAAGTACTTGGAGAAGAAGGAAATGTTGGGGTGTCCTGATGAGTTGGTTTGTGAACCCCAAGTATACAAAGACATCCTTATGAGGCAGAATGTCTCAAGGACTTAGAGGTTATCTCCCAGGAGCCAGTCATGGGCAAATCTTTTCTTTGAAATATACGGAGTTTATACATCGCAAGCCTGCTTAGTTAACCCCGTATTGCACATACAGCAACCAAATGCAATGTGTGGACCTTGTTTGAATTTTGATTCAAACAAACCACTGTAAACAAAACAAAACAAAAAAATGACCTTTTCCTTTTTTCATTTAACAGTTTATTAAGGTATAGTAAACATATAACACATTGCATATATTTAAATTGTACAGTTTGATAAGTTTTGATATATGCATATACTTGTGACATGATCACCACAATCAAAATAATGAATGTATACAGACATCACTCCCAAGAGTTTCTTCTTGTTCCACTTTAATCCCTCCACCTGGCTCTTCTATGTCCTCCCTATCCCCAAGCAACCACTTATCTTCTTTCTGTTACCAAATTTGTATTTTTCAGAATTTTATGTAAATGGAATTATGTAGTGTGTACTCTATGTCGGCCTTCTTTCATTCGGCATAATTATTTTGAGTTTGTCTATGTTGTTGCTGTATCTATAATGTATTTCTTTTTATTGCTGAATAGTATTTCATTGTATTGATATACCTCAATTTGTTTATACTTCAATATGTCCATCTTGTGTTGGTGGGCATTTGGTTTGTTTCCAGTTTGGGGATATTACAAATTAAGGTGCTACAAATATTTACATACAAGTCATTGTATGGACATACGCTTTTGTTTCTCTTGGGTAAATGCCTGGGATGGAATTGCTGTTTCATATAGTAGGTATATGCTTAAGTTTTTAACTAAAATGGATGATAGGCCAAAAGGTAAAATCTAACACTATCTAGATGAAGACATAGAAGAAAACCTTTTTGGCCTTGGGATAGGCAAATATTTCTTAGATATGACTGCAAAACATAATTCATGTAAGAAAAAAATGACAAATTAAATGTCCTCTAAAGTAAGAAACATGCTCTTTGAAATACAGTTAAGAGAATGAAAAAGCAAGCCACAGACTGGGTGAATATTTTTGCCTGTCACATATCTGATAAAAGACATGTCCGGCCTGGTGCAGTGGCCTACACCTGTAATTCCAGCACTTTGGGAGGCTGAGGCGAGCAGATCACGAGGTCAGGAGTTCAAGACCAGCCTGGCCAACATGGTGAAACCCCGTCACTACTAAAACTACAAAAATTAGCTGGGCGTGGTGGCATATGCCTGTAATCCCAGCTACTCGGGAGGCTGAGGCAGGAGAACTGCTTGAACCCGGGAGGCAGAGGTTGCAGTGAGCTGCGATCGCACCACTGCACTCCAGCCTCGGTGACAGAGTGAGATTCCATCTCAAAAAAAAAAAAAAAAATACATGTCCAGAATATATAAATATTTCTCAAAAGTTAATAAGAAAACAAAAACAAAATTTTTAAAATGCACCAAAGATGTGAATAAAAACAGAAGACAGACGATATATGAATGGAAAATAATCACATGAAAAGATGCCCAACATCATTAATCATTAGGATAATGCAAGTTAAGACACACTGAGATACTGCTAAGCACCAATTACTATGTTTAAGATTAAAAACATTACAATACCAATTACTGGCAAAGAGGTAGAACAACTGGAACTCCCATAAACTGATGGGAATATAAAGTGGTACAACCACTTTGGAAAACACTTTGACAGTTTCTTATTTTTTTTGCTTTGAACTTTGACTTTAAAATAATTTCCAACTTACATAAAATTTTCAAGTCACTCAAAGAGCTCTCATATATCCTTCACCTAAATTCTCCAATGTTCAACATTCTACATTTGATTTAGCATCATCTCTCTTCTTTTTCCTGAATCATTTGGGAGCTAACTGCATATTTAATACGTCACTGCCCCCTTAATGCTGCATTTGGTATAATACTGCCATGTAATCCACAGATTCCTTTCAAATTTTGCTGTTTGTTTTAATTATATCTTTTATAGGTCCAGCGTCCAGTATAGATTCTAATTTTACACAATGGAAATATTTGAACATAGATTAGGTATTAAACGATGCTAAGAAATTGTTAATTTTTTTTTAAGAGACAAGGTCTTACTCTGTTGCCCAGATTGGAGTGCAGTGGTGCAATCACAGCTCACTGCAGCCTTGGACTCCTGGGCTCAAGCAATCCTCCCACTCAGCCTCCTGAGGGTGGGACTACATGTCACCTCGTCCAGCTAATTTTTTATTTTATTTTTTGTAGAGATGGGGCCTCGCTATGTTGCCCAGGCTGGTCTCAAACTCCTGGCCTCAAGTGATCCTCCACCTTGTGCTGGGATTACAGGTGTGAGCCACTGTCCCTGGCCAAAGGGTTACATTTTTAGGGTATAAGATTAGTAATATGTTATGTTGGTTCCTTTTCTAGTTAGAGATATATCCTTAGGTATTTATTTTTTAAAATGATATGATTGAGACTTAAAAAAAACACTCCTGAGGGATGGAGAGAAGAGATGAAATAAAATTGACAAAATATCTATGGTTGTTGAAGCTGGATGATGAGTACAGAGGAGTTTACTTCTAAGTATGTTTGACATTTTCATAAATATAGGTTTAAAAGAATTTTTTTAAAGACCAATAGAGAAATGGAGTAATTTTAAGGATTAGAGTGCAATGGCCATATTTGCAATTTAGAAACATTACTCTGGCTGCAATAGGAAGAATGGCTTAATGTGGGGCAAGAATGAAGACAGTGACTAATTAAGAGAGTTATTGAAGTAACCCAGGGAATTGGTGACAGTAGCCTGAACTAAGTTAGTGGCAATGGGTTAGAGTGTAGTGGATGGACAGAAGTGGTGACTATTTGGATGTGAGTTGAGAGAAAGGGAATTCAGAATCACACTCAGTTGAATGGTGCCATTTACCTAGTCAGAGATCACTGGAGAAGGAACGGGTCTCCAGCAGAGGGAAGATGATGATTTAAATTGGCCTTGGGTCAAGCTAGTGCATTTGTGTTATCTGGCCAGAAATGAGTGGATAGATGGCAGCAAGGAATTTACACAATCATTATTTAGTGAACAGTGGAGGAGTAAGCAAGGTAGACAGAAGAAACGTCACTTAAACCTAACTTGGGTTAGTACAATAGGATTATTCGAAATGGACATGCAGCATTAGTAAGTTACTGAAGATGAAGTGCAATAACAATGTCTGGGTAGACAGGTTATTATTTTATAAACTTGAAAAACGACGACTTGAGGCAGGATATAACACAAAGACTCCCTAAATTCACACTGAGTGAACTGGGAAGGGAACATGATTCTCTTCATGGGAAGGTAGCTCATAAAGATGCCTGAGTGGAAAGACAGTTTTCAATTGAATTTGCAAGGTGGTAGTGGAGATCCCCAAAGCTGGGGAATGTAGAGACAGAGAACATAATGAGGGTGTTGAATCTGTGGCTCAGAGAATAAGTTTGGGGGTACTAAAGTGGGAGGAAGGAGGGTGGGGGGGGTCACAATTTTTACTCCCGGTAGTCTTGTTCTGGGAAGGTACAAGGTGAAATTAGAAGTGACCTCAGAACCCATCGACGTCTGCCCTTTAAGAGTTTCCCGGCCGGGCGCGGTGGCTCATGCCTGTAATCCCAGCACTTTGGAAGGCCGAGGCGGGCGGATCACAAGGTCAGGAGATCGAGAACATCTTGGCCAACATGGTGAAACACCATCTCTACTAAAAATAGAAAAATTAGCCGGGCGTGGTGGTGCGCGCCTGTAGTCCCAGCTACTCTGGAGGCTGACGCAGGAGAATCGCGTGAACCCGGCAGGCGGAAGTTGCAGTGAGCCGAGATCGCGCCACTGCACTCCAGCCTGGGGAACAAGAGCCGAAACTCTGCCAAAAAAAAGAAAAAAGAGTTTCCCGCACTAGCCATGCCAGGGTGGAGAAGTTCCAGCAAGCACTTCTGTTAAAGATACTTGTTTCGTGAAAACTATACAATGTGGCGTTTTCATTCCTATCTGTGATTCATTTCTTAAGTTCGTGGAGTTCCTTTGCTCCCCTTCCCCCAGCAGGATGTGGGCAAAGCTGTCCCCCTGCCTTCTTCCTTCGCCTGGGCTTCTGGAGCCTCCGGAGCTAGCTCCCGGCGCGGAGCTCCGCCTACGGCCCGTCCCCGGCGCGGAACCCCGCCCACGAGCCCGTTTCCAGCGTGGAACACCGCCCATAGCCCGTCCCCAGCGCGGAGCCCCGCCCCGCAGGCTGCCGGGGGCCCACCGCCGCCCAGGCAAGGCCGCCCTGCCTTGGGCGCAGCGCTGCCATGGCTGGGGGCCGTGGGGCCCCCGGGCGCGGCCGGGACGAGCCTCCGGAGAGCTACCCGCAACGACAGGACCACGAGCTACAGGCCCTGGAGGCCATTTACGGCGCGGACTTCCAAGACCTGCGGCCGGACGCTTGCGGACCGGTAGGAACGTGGCTTGTCAGGCCCGGGCTGGCGTGCCCTGGCCTCCCCGGGCCCTGGGCCAAAGCCCGGACACTTCCAGATTGGGCCGCCGCTTTAGGATCCTGCAGTCTTTTCATCCCTTAGGTTCCACCCATGCTCACTTTAGTCCTTGCACCTGCAGCTGGTCTGCAGAATCCCACCTAGGCCGAATTCTTCTACAGTCCTTTCCCCATGATTTCCCCAGAGGAATCCCCCTGGATTCCTCCCTCTTACCTGGCACTGCTTCTTATTCCTGCCTACATCCCATAACATAACTGCCTCCTTCCAACCTTGTCCTTTTTCCCCTCTGAAAGCCCTTGCGGATGATACCACAGCAATTCATACGCGCCCCTTGCTACTTTGTTCTGAGAACGCTTTTTGGGCTCTCGCACAGGCCTTACGTCCTCAATCAGAATTCTCAAGTCTCATCCATGCATTCAAATCTGCACGCCACATAATTCCCTCTGTACTCCCCAGGCATCCTCACTGTGTTTTCCGGTATGGAGGAACTTTCCATACCTCTGCACCTTCCTCTAAGACATTTAGCTCAGAATAAAGCACACATTCATCTTAGCTGTAGTAGAGAGAGGGTTCTAGACTGAGTCTAGAGAAGGAGTGTCCAATCTTTTGGCTTCCCTGGGCCACACACAAAATACACTAACACTAAGGATAGCTGATGACCTAAAAGAAAAAAAAAATTCGCAAAAAAACCTCAATGTTTTAAGAAAGTTTACGAATGCGTGTTGGGCCACATTCAAAGCGGCCCATGGGCCTCGGGTTAGACCAGCTTGCTCTAGCTCTAGACCTTTTAAAATGGCATTTTGTTTAAAATAATATTTTGCCTTTTTGTCTGGAAATTAAGGCACGTTATAAAGTATTTATACTGACAGTTTTTTCCCCATCCTTGAAGAGTTGATCTACCAAACTATTTCTGAATATTATCATATTATCATTTAAAACATAGTTCTAACTTCATCTGCTTTTTTTTTTTTTCTTTTTGAGACAGGGTCTTGCTCTGTCTCCCAAGCTGGAGTGCAGAGGCATGACCACGGCTCACTGCAGCTTATTCTCAAGCAATCCTTCTGCCTCAGCCTGTCAAGTACCTGGGACTACAGGCACATGCCACTACACCTGGTTAATTTTTTTAATTTTTTGTAGAGACAGAGTCTTGCTCTGTTGCCCGGGCTGGTATCAAGTTCCTGAGCTCATGCAATCCTCTCACCTTGGCCTCTGAAAGTGCTGGGATTACAGGTGTGGGCCACCGCGCCTGGCCTCTTCATCTGCTTTTAACTTTGGCATTTCACAACATCTGCTCTATCTACACATCCAGGATTTCCTCAAGAAATACCATCTTCTGGAGCTATCAGGACAAAATATTCTCTCTCAAACTCAGGGTGCTTCTTCCTTCATTAAATATTTGTTTTAGGCATTAGGAATACAGCTGTGGGCAAAACAGACAAAAATCCTTGCCCTCAGGGAGCTTACTTTTCTAATGCTTAATAATATGAAGTTATTTTTAACCTGAAATGGTAAAAATATAAATTATTCCCCTTAACATGACAGAGAAGTTGGTGACTGGGGAACTTCTATCTTCCCAAACCTTGAGAATCAGGAAGTAGGCCCAAGAAGCAGCCAAAATAGGTGTCTCAAAGTGTACATGGGACTCAACACAAAGCTCCTAAGGCTTCATTCTGAACTAGTTTGTTTACTTTATACAAGCTTAGTTGTCTGCTCCTAGGGCTGCAGAAAAATGGAAGAGAAAAAGCAACTTCTTTTAGGTAGGGATATTGATAACCTCAAGAATTTATAGCTGGTGGCTTTCATAACAAGATGGAATACTAGACAAACCAAAGCAAAAACTATAGAAGGCAGGCAGAAGAATTTAAATAGCTGTCTGTGGCCTATTGTACACCGGGCAAATGGCCTCAACACATTCATAGGACTGGCAGGCAAATAATTGATGGTCTCAAGGATGAATCAGAGTTTAGTCATTCAACAAGCACTTATTATCACCTGCTATTTGCCAGGGAAAAGTGATGCAGGTCCAAAATCCTTTATCCAAAACTCTTTATTGAGAGGGAGTTTCTCTCTGTCGCCCGGGCTGGAGTGCGGTGGAGCAATCTCGGCTCACTGCAACCTCCACCTCCCAGGTTCAAGCGATTCTTGTGCCTCAGCCTCCTGAGCAGCTGGGATTACAGGTACCCGCCTCCACACCTGGCTAATTTTTGTATTTTTAGTAGAGATGGAGTTTCATTATGTTGGCCAGGCTGGTCTCGAATTCCTGACCTCAAGTCCTCCCGCCTCGCCTCCCAAAGTCCTGGGATTACAGGTGTGAGCCACCGTGCCCAGCCTTTTATCCAAAACTCTTGAGACTTGATGGGTTTCAGAATTCAGAAGTGCTTCTGTTCACGTTTATGTGTGCACATTCCACACATTACCTAATACCTTCCTCAGTGTCTGGGGCAGCATCGAAAATCAAACACAATGAAACATAGAAATACTCAAATTTCACACTGAACAAATAAACACTATAACTAACCTCATGTCAGTTCAGGCTAAATTTGCTGCCAATAAATTCAGGTTAGATTTTTTTTTCAACTTCTTTTAGTGGGGATGTGTTGTAATATAAATTTCAGTTTAGTAGCATATGTATATCATTTATAAATAACATTTTGAGGTGCATGCTAAAAACTTTTGCATTTGTAAAAAGTTTAGACACTGCTAGTTTAAAGTATCTATAATTTATAGATAGTTACAAATTACTAACTTATTTTGGCTAGCTTTCCACAGCAGCAAAAGGTCTGCTCATTTATAATTTGATAGCTTTTGGAAACATCCCTCCAAAAAACTTGCTTCAATCCCTGGATCCCCCAGTAGTGTATGGTGGTGTTTGTTTTCCTTTATCTTCAACAATACTATATATGTTAGACTTTTTCATCTTTGCCACATAAATGAAACATATCTCATTTTAATTTTTATTTATTTATAAATTATCTAGAACACCTTTGTTTACAAACCATTGATTTTTCTTTTTCTGTGAACTGCTCATACTCTGGTTTATTTTTCTACTCTGTGGTCCATTTTCTTGTTTATTTGTAAGAGCTAAATATCTTAAGAAAACTAGCATTTTGGGTCATATAATGCATATATTTTTCTCCTAATTATATGCATTTATTTACGTAATTTATGTGATTTAAAAAATGTTGATAGAGTCAAAATGACCTTTTTTTTCTTTTATGGTCCCTGTGGGTTTTTTTTCCCCCTCTGTTCCAATGTTACTAAAAACCAAATTCGTCAAAGTTTACTTTTAACTTGTTCATGACTTCGTTTTTAAATTTTCATCAAATAAAGATATAAGTAGGTTTTTTTTTTTAAGTTCTTCGTTCCATCAAAGTACGGGCCTAGGCCACCTCCCCGTGTGCATCCCTCCTCCTCCAGCTAGGCAGCTAGACAAATATAGGCAATTGAATTTTTCAGTGTCTTCCACTCATTTGAAATGCCATTCCTACAAGCCCAGTGCCTGGTAAAACAAACAAAAAACTTTCAAAAATTGTTACTGAATGAAATAATTCTCAAATGTATTTCAAGTCTCTTTTTTTCCTTGCCTGGAATGCTTGGTCTCTTGGCTTGTCTCAGCTTCAATGCTACATCCTCAGATAGTTCTTCTTTGATAACCACATTTAAGTATATACCCTCACACCCCAAGTCGTTTGTTAAGGAGAGCACCACGTCATCTCTTCAACGGCACTCTCTAAGCTTGTACTTATGTGTTTATTATGTTTGTTTTCCCCCACCAGACTGAAGTTCCATGAGAGCTGGAACCATATCTGTGTTCTCACCTCCGTGGACTAAGCACAGTGCCTGACACAGAGTCAGTGCTTAGCAAATATGGGTGATGGATGTGTGATGGGTGAATGAGTGGATGAAAGACCTGTGGACCAAAGAGTGCTTAACCCTTCCCCAGACCACATTCGCAGAATTATGCTTTATGGAAGGACCCACACATTTATCAAGGATTATTATAAAGCCATATAAGAACTGATCTTACAAATTTTGTACACATAGTAGAAGAGTACAGTGTTTATTATATGGTACTCCTTGTAAGGTTCACGTTATAAATTTCTGTTAGAATTTAGTATTATAAGTACTTTGCTTCCCTAAAATAATTTTTAGGCTTTCTCTTTTCTGATGATACCACGTTTCTCTTTTTGCCCTGCCTGCCAGGACATTCAGAGAAAAAAATCAAGGCTCAATCCCAGCAACTTAGGATGGCATAATAAAAGAGTGGCTTATGGGAGGAGACAGGGTTTGGAGTTAAGGCTGGGTTTGAATCCCAGCTCTGTCCCTGTGTATCTGTAGGCAAGAATGTAAAACTCCCTGAGCCTGAGCTTCTGTATCTGTAAAATGGAGATGACACCTGCCTTGCAAAGTTGGTAAGGTGCCTGGACCATGGGAGCGCTCAGCCATTGTTTTTTCTCTCAGACTCCCCTTGTTCATTATATACATATAATATGAACTACTTCAAATCCACTTTGGAAAAAGTGTATCTAAATTGAAGAACAAGGGTATTTTGCGATTTGGTGAAAAGTAGTTGATTGAAAACATATGCAATTCTCTCCTTGTCAAGGGTTTTCATTTGTTAATATCTCAGTATTCAGATCTCAATTCAAATCTCCCCTGCTCGCAGAGTCCTTCACTGACCTACCTGTCCAGATACCTTCTCCTCGCCCACCACTATGTCCCTCTACTCTGCTTTGTTTTCTTTACAGCACTCATCACTATTTGAAATCACTCGTCTTCTAGTTTGTATCAGCTGGTTGGGACTGTGTCTGTCTAAATTTACCCCTGCACTCCCAGCTTCCAGGAGAGCACCCAGGCATAATAACTCAGTAACATCTGAACGAATGGAAGCTGAGTGGAACATTTTGGTTCATTCCTTAGATAACTTAAAAAAGGAAAGTGCATTTTCACTGGCTTAGGTTTTGTTTTTAAATCATGCTTTTGGAAAGTATGCCAGATTATCTATTTAAAATATAATTACAAATATTTTTAAAGTAGAACTTTTGATCTAAAATGATCATTATCTTAATCATTAATGATTGGCTCTACAGCTTTGAAAAAAATTTTTTTTGTTTTTCCTCTTTTAGGTCAAAGAGCCCCCTGAAATCAATTTAGTTTTGTACCCTCAAGGCCTAACTGGTGAAGAAGTATATGTAAAAGTGGATTTGAGGGTTAAATGCCCACCTACCTATCCAGATGTGTGAGTACATTTATAAATAGCTTTGACGTGGTTTCAGTTTTCTGTTTTGACAACATAGAAACAGATTGAAATTCGTAGTATTTTCTCCTTCCTGCTCCCATTCCACATAAAATTTCATTTCCTCTATTTCAACAAAACTACATCAGCAATAGATGTTTTCATGAAACCTGTCTCATTTTAAGCCTGTTCATAGTTATAGAATTGTCACTACAGATACTTATATTTGCCTAGTGACTATTTTGCTTCCTCTGATGTGTTAACTTTTGTTTATTTATTTCTTCATAAGTTAGGAAGAGGAAAATTTGGAAGAAAACAATAAAGGCATGGTGACTGTTGAAAGCCCTTGCATAGTTAGAGTGTGGCTGGTATTAGAAATTCAGCAAGTCTGTGCCTCAGATGACCTTTCACTGCCTAGAGTGAGGGAGAGTATTTGGATCTGTCCTGCCTCTCAATGGGGCACTCTGGCGAGTGTCCATTGTGCAGGGCTGTGCTGTGCACTGCAGTACGTTTAGCATCCCTGGCCCCCACCTACCAATGCCACGAGTGTCCTCCAGGCATTGAAACAACCAAATAACCTACATATTTCCAGACTCCCTCTGAAGGTGATGTCACCTCTGGTTGAGAAAAACTAGTTAGAGCCAAAGTGTTAGCCATCAGCACTTAAGCATGTCTATTTGGTGTAATCTTTCCCCACCCATCCCACATGGAAAGGCAGGTTGGCCTGGATGGCGTTAAGTAGTTTGAAATTATTGTATGGGGAACCAGTGAAGGTTTTTGAGATGGAAAGGGACAAGTAAAAGGAAACTCTGCTTTACACAGTGGGTGGTAAATTTATGGAATTTATTATCCTAAGAAGTGATAGGGAGGATATGAAAAGACAGATAAGTCAAAATTGAGCTCCTTGAAGTCAGTAACCATTCTTGGCCCCCAAAACTGTCCTGAGAGTATTATAGTAGGTATACTATACATACTATAAAAATATTAATTAACGAAACGTTAATTATAAAACATTAATGAAAAAGATAATTAAAAATTTATGAAAGGAAATTAAAAGAGTGCCTCTCTAGGTTGTTTTTTTTTCCTGACACCAAATACATGATGCCTTTTCTGATACCATGTGGGTGTCCAGTAGTTCAGTTCAATTCTGACACTATCTGTAGTTAGCAAAGACCCCACAGATTAAGGACCCAGTTCCACAAGATTGCCTCCATTTCTGATGCTAGTGGCAAGTCCCAGTACTTCTGACCATTTATAGCCAGTATTTATAACTGGCTATAAATTTAGGGGTTTCCACCACCCCCTCCTAAGTTGCGATAATTGCTAGAATGCATCACAGAACTCAGTTTCTGTGAGTTACATTTACCAGTTTGTTGTAAAGGATATGGCTCTGGAATAGCCACATGGAAGTATTATGAAGGGTAAGGTGTGTGGGAAGAGGCACAGAGCTCCCATACCCTCTCCAGGCCTGGCACCCTCCCAGCACCTCCCTGTGTTCTTCAACCAAGAATCTCCCTGAACCCTGTCGTTTAGGGGTTTTTATGGAGGTTTCATTATGTAGAGATGATTGATTAATTAAATCTTTGGCCACTGGTGATTGAACTTGATCTTCAGCCCCCTACTCCTCCCTAAAGATCTGGGATGGGGCTGAAATTTCTCACCCTGTAATCAAGGCTTGGTTTTTCTGGTGACCAGTCCTGATCCTGAAGCTATCCAGGTACTGACCAGAGTTCCCTCATGAGTACTAACTCCGGTATGGTTGGAAGGGGTTTGTTATGAAAAACATAAGATGCTCCTCTCACCCCTGTTGCTCAGGAAATTCCAAGGGTGATAGGATCTCTGTGCCAGGAACAGGGGTCAAATATCAAATATATATTTTTTTATTATACCATAGCCTCAAGAATTCAAAGTGTTTATTCTTGAAAAATCAAAATAAAGAAAAAGGTATAAGTGCTATAATGTTATATAAGTGCTAAAATATTAATTATAGCATTATTTGTGAAAGCAAAGATATTGGAAGCAATCTAAATGTCAAATACTAGAGTGAGGTTTCTCCACCTTGGCACTACTGACATGTGGGCAGATAACTCTTTGTTGTGGGGTCCTTCCTGGGCATTGTGGGATATTTAGTAGCATCCCTGACCTCTGTCTGCTAGATGTCGGGAGTACATTTCTCCCCAGGTTGTGGCAACCAAAAAAAGTCTCCAGATGTTGGCAGATATCCCCTGGGGCCAAAATCACCCCTGGTTAAGAATCATGGCACTAGATAACTATTCAGGTAAATCTTAATGTGTCCACTTGATAAAAATATTATGGGATGATTGCTTTTAACATGGAAATGCTTATAAAAGTTAAAAAGCAAACATTATAATATCAGCTACATAAACTATGAATTATATAGCAAGGAAATAAAGAGAACATTAGAATTTTTTTTGAAGTTTAATTAGCATCATTGATGATTTTTTCTCCATTCTGTTAATATTGCTATATTATGATTACTTATTTTTTAAATTATAACAAAAATCTTAATTTGGGGTAATATTCTTATCCTTTTGAATGTGGTACAGGAAAACATTGCTTTTCTGCAGAATAGTCCTGGGTGCCACTGTGAGAGAGAGACTCCCGGGTTAGATTCTGGAATTCTGGAAATTTCAGCCCCATCCCAGACCTTTGGGGAGGAATTCTAGAAATTTCAGCCCCATCCCAGCTCTTTGGGGAGGAATCTAACCCAGGATTCCATACATAGAGTCAGGACTGTATGGTTTGTTTTTCTGTTCTTTCCCTCATATAGACTACTTTCTCTCAGATTTCTATCTATAGAAATAGATAATGATCATAGCACCCTTTCATACTGAAGCATTGAGAGAACGCATAGATAAGTGCATACTCAAGACTTCACTGGTTAAATGCCATGAATTACTCAGAAATGCTTGGTAAAAAGTGATGAGTCATCATCTCTTCAGTAAAATTAAATAACTCCTATTTAATCTGAGAGAGTTGTTATTGGATATTTATTGGTTGGGAATAAAATGAAACCCGAGGGCTGGTTGTGTAATGTCCTTGAGTTGAAAGTGTTGACTTAGATGAGCTCTAGGCAGAGGTGCAGAGAGTGTGCATGACTAGATGTATTTATACACAAGAAGTGAGCATTTCCACCTGGTTTCGATCAGAATGAGTGATTGGGATGCAGCAGTGTGTTGTGGGAATACTAGAGGGATCACCAGGGCTCCACTCATCTATTTATTCTTGTTCTGCTTTATGCTAGAGCACACCTGAATGCAGAGCGCTTGGCCTTGCCAGTGAGCTGTCAGAGCTAGGTTAATTCTCATTGGCTGCAAGCTAGGGTAGAGAATTACCATACAAAGGAGCACATGGTTAAGTTACTGGGCTAGAGTCAGCTGCAGAACTGGAATGATTTTTTTTTTTTTTTAAGGTGAAGAACTCAGAGTTAGGGATCCAGGTCAAATCGTAGGAAATAAATAGTAATTGATGTTGGGAAATTTTAATCAGATTGTAAAGCTGAAATTAGATACAGGGGTCAAGCCCAGTAAGTCTAACAGCCCAGACAGAAGGCTTTGGCCAGCCCACTTCTTCCCTGTAGGACGCAGGTGACTCCACTGTCAACTGGAGTTGCAGGGATATGGTTGAAGTCCCTTTGAGATTAAGGGCCTTGGGCCCAGAGTGCTTTCAGTTTAGCAAATATTAATGCAAACAGGCTATACTTTCTGGAGTAACTCTTTTTTTTTTTTTTTTTTTTGCCTTTTCCAGAGTTCCTGAAATAGAGTTAAAAAATGCCAAAGGTCTATCAAATGAAAGTGTCAATTTGTTAAAATCTCGCCTAGAAGAACTGGCCAAGAAACACTGTGGGGAGGTAAGATTTGTTAAACTGGAATTAAAAGAAGACAGTAAACTTCCCCATTACACCT